>NC_000006.12:16272121-16423636 GCF_000001405.40 Homo sapiens | reverse complement strand
CCACCTTAAGTCACCCTCCCCTCTCTCTAGGCCTCCACCTCACTGGGGAGCGTCATTGCAGCCAGTGGCAAGAAGCTGCAAAATTCTCTCATCTGTGAAGAGAGCCCCTAAAACCCCAAATCCCGGACCAGTAGAGGAAACCATTGCTGCCCTAATATCACATGTTACAAGTCTTCGAGCCCATGGTATCTGAGATGTTAGGAGCTAGCATTCCTTGTAATTAAACCCCTGGAACATCACAAGGACCCAGTTCAGGGGGCTTGGTTGGTTGACTGATTGATGACAGCATCTCAATTATGTAGGAGATTTCTGTAAAGAGGAGTGACTGGAAGGAAAAGAAGATAACCTTCATTTATATCATGAGACCTTGCGTAGTAGAAGGCCGTGAGGATGGGAACAAAGTGAAATCATGAAAAACAGCCTGATGCAAAATGACAAAGAAGAATTTCAGGGTCGTTGAGATCACACTTGAACAATAACTGAACAGAGCCAGCACTACAGTTTTCAGACCTGATGGCTAACAAGTGAAATGTATTCAGAGAGAGGTGTGTGATTATAAAGACTCCCCCTACCCCTGGTGCTCTATTCCACTGACTGTCCCTTTATGAAAAATGAATTCTAGAGTTCCCTTTCTGAAATTTCTTACCTGAATCAGATCAGATATGACAATTCTATTTTTTAAAGCACCTTACTGAAAATAAAGTGCTTTTCAGTAGTAAACCTTTAAGATTCCTGGTTTCCCTCTGACTTGTGAAAATATGAAAGAACTGAAATTAGACCACATTGGCCCAGGTTGGGAAAACAGATGGCAGAGATAAGGCAGATCAAAGAAACATCTCTCTGTGGGTGAAGGAGTTCCTGGTTGTCATGTATCCATTTTTTGTAGCGTTTTCCCTACTTGAGGAGGCTGTTGTGAAGGGCAGGATTCTTCACTGAATCTTTATTGTAAAAGGCATAGGTGTGTCTTGGGTGGATTCCAGTTCTCAGGTTGATTTGCTTGACAACTCTTAGGAAGGAACAATTAATACTGCTGCCCCTCAACTAGCTAGGGAGATTTCACTGTGGAGGTAGAAGTCGGATTCACTGAGGCAGAATTGCCAGGGCTTGAGACCCTTCATGCCTCTCTTTTCCAAGTCTCTCTCTCCAAGAAAGGGTGAACTTTTCAAGTCAAAGAGCAGGGACGTAAATAAATGCAGTTATGGCTGTCTTAGGAGGATCCATTCACTTAAGGCAAAGGTCTTAGAAGTTACAGAAGAGGAGAGAGAATGGGAACTACTGTGGCACCAGGATGTCTGGAGAAGAGAAAGTGCGCTTACTGTGCACAGCTTCCTCTCCCTCACCTGCGCCACGGTGAACCCACCTATATCTTTCTGCTGGCAAAAACATTTGCTCAGTGTGTCGCCGGAGTACTTGAGTGTCTGATATTTCTCAAGGCAGAATCTACCTCACTGTCTCTGAAACCTCAAAATATGTGGCCCTCTCGAAGGATAACAGTTGGCAGCAACCTAAGGCTGTTCTGCTCCAACTTGGAATGAAGAGGAATATGATTTGGCCATTCTTCTTAGCACAGAGGCAAATAAAAAAAAAAACCCTTATATACTTCAAAAGATGAAGATCTTACTTCTTACTGGCTATCTTTGCACCAGGTCCTGGGATTGGCATATAATAAAAAATGCATATGCAGTGGCCATGAAATGGGCTTAAAGGTCAATCTTGGCTGCCAGTCGTGGCTAAACTGCATTGTATTCCATGTTTTTTTCCATATTGCCCCTGCAGTGTACATATACATGCACAGTCATGGCCCCTGCACACTGTGTACACACTCACGCCTGCACACATGTATGCATATCAACGCCTGCACATGTACTTGTATGCACACTCACCCACACATGTGCATTTGTGTGCACTCACTTCTGCACACCTATTTGCATGCACGCTCATCTCCCACAAATATGTATGCATGCACACTCACGCCCCCCCCACCCTCCCGTGTGAAACTCTGCACCTGCTTGTCTTTACCCTCACCCTTGAACCTGTGTATAACCTCATAAAGTAGGAAGAAGCCCAGTGTTGAACTCTACAGCCTTTTACATTCAAAATGGTTTTGAAAAATGCCCATTCAGAGGAACAGGAAAGCACCAAACCTAAAAGGTCTGAGGACCTTTCCATGCTTTCTGTCTCCTAATCTCAGAGCTGTACCAATCTGTTATTTAAAAATTAGTCATTATTTATCCAAGGCAGGAGGGGACAAATGTAACTGTTAGTTCAGTAAATGATTTCATTCTTTTTTTTTTCCTGTGTCCTTTCTACTGTTAAAGTGACGAAAATGACACCACGGTTTGATATGTGGGGTTGGTTTCAGTTTGAATAATCTCATCCTTAGCTGCATGTGAACTCATGTCTTCTCACACTCTATTAGATAAAAGCCTAAAACAGGAAGGCCAGAAACAACTGTTTTTAAAAAGCTCATGCTACCCTGGCAACTTAAGTTGGAAGAACCTAATAAATAAATACAAAGCTGCCCCTCTGTCCTAATGTACTTCTTCTGAATTCCAGCTGGGCACCTCATGGTTTCATGCCTGAATCACAAAGGCGAGTGCCAGTACCCAGCCAGAGCAGTTTTCCTACCATAAACCAGTAAATGTGTGTGTATCACATGTAAGTCAGGGTCAGATGGGGAAAATCAACTACAAAACCGCAGAGACATTATGCAAAATTGGATTACGTACATGTTTTCAGTTTTGTCTCTTAGCAGTTTAAGTCTTTAATTAAAATACACACGAGAGAGAGAGACAGAGAGAGAGAGAGAGAATCTGTAACTGTTAGATTTTATAGGCCCCGGTTATGAGATAATAGCCTTCCAAGTAATTTTTATGGGTCATTCTATCTAGTGGCAACTTAGACTATAAAGCCATCTCCCAGCTTCCCAAAAGTAATGTCTGTTTTCTCACTTTCTAATAATTACTTCAGATTTGAAAGTAAGGAGTTGTCACAGTGAATACAAATTAGAGTCAGCTTCAGGGTATTACTAAATGTGGATTGTTTTGTTCCGAGTTTTATCCATTTTAGGCAGAGTAACATGATCATTTATATACATCTGCCTCTATGCAGGCTGTGTAGACATACTCAGAACACCAGCTTCACCTCTTCAGTCTTCTAAGACAGTCTTTCTAATACTCTATATTGTCTAATAGCTAAGCTATTGTTAAATAAAAACACGCAAATGTTTGCAGTTAGGCTCCCCCCTCCATTCTCAACCTCTTAAGTGATACAGACAGTAAATGCATTTTGATGTTTATTTAGAAAGTTGGCATCCTGGGACTGTTCACAAGATAGCTAATTTGTCTGAAGGTCCCCAGAGACAGTGAAAGTCATCCCACCATCTCTCTAGCTGCCCTCATACCGGGGAAGTAAAATGCAGCATAGAACACTGCAGCTCACGTTATGGAGAACAGTGGTGCTATGGTGATTTCCTTTCTATTCAAATCATTTAGTGAGGATTTACATAATTTGCATTAACGTGTGACTTTCGATCACTTATGCTGCAGCAGAGTATTCGTTGCCTATGTTCTCTAAGGCACCAGTGTGGTGGTTCATGTGTCCTTGTATAAAAGATTACTGTCCTCCCCATCCCCAGTCTTTGTATCTGTGCACCAGAACAAAATGCCCTCGGATCATGGCCACCCAGGCCAGAGAATGAGGACCCACACTTTAAAAACCCTGTAGATGATAGGATGAGCGGTCCTCATCCGTCCCCTCCCTGAGAGTGAGGTTGGGTTGGAGTAGAAGGATGGACTCTGCCAAATGATGACAGCAGCCCTGAGAGTCCTTCTCACAGGTGGCCAGCTCTGTCCCCTCCAGCCTCACCACACATTCCCCTAGTACACAAAGGCAGACCCGGGCAGCCACTCAGCATGCACATGTAGCAGTGTCCCCTGTACACTGGTACCCTCAAGGCCTCCCTGGCACCTTTGCTTGTTACGTTGGCTGATTTCTTCAAAGGGAAATATGGGATGTGGTGCAGCCTGGCCCTCACACACTCTGAAAATAGCACTGCCCAGGGCCAGGCCTTTTCCTTTGCACACTGCCATACCCACCCTGGAAAGTACTCCATGGTTGTATCACAAGAAAACAGCCATTTGGGCATTTTAAATTACTCAAAATATTATAAAAATATTTATAAAATATATTAATGTATATATTTATAAAATACAAAGAGTATATGATTACCAGGCAAATGAGTAGACAGTGATAGAACTATCATAAGAATAGGATTGGCTATTAATTATAATAATGATTGGAATAGATAACATTTATTGAACATGTATTATGTGCCAAGCACTGTGCTAAAATATTTACATGCAGCAGTTCATCAAAAGCTCATGGGAAGCCATGTGCAGTGTCATGCACCTGTACTCCCAGCTACTTGGGTGGCTGAGGCAGGAGGATCACTTGAGCCCCAGAGTTTGAGCCTAGCCTAGGCAACATAGCAAGAACCCATCTCAAAGAAGAAAACAATACAAAAAGCTCATGACAGTTGTAAGACATATGTACCATCATTACCCTTATTCAACAGAAAAGGAAATTGGGGCTTAGGGTGGGTGGTTACCTTACTTGTACAAAGTCACACAGCTAGTAAGTGGAGGAGTTGGTTCAATGAAGGATAACCAGGGAAGCATCTGTGGGCATATCGAGGCCTGAAAATAGGAACACCTTGGCCAAATTTCAGACCATGACATCAAGCGAATGCTTGAAAGCTAAGGAACAAATAGAAATATGTTGTATCATTTATAACAAATTGTTACCATTAACACCTACAATTATTAGCGTTAGGAGTATTGCGGTGGGAATTGAACAATGAGAACACATGGACACAGGAAGGGGAACATCACACTCTGGGGACTGTTGTGGGGTGGGGGGAGGGGGGAGGGGGGAGGGACAGCATTAGGAGATATACCTAATGCTAAATGACGAGTTAATGGGTGCAGCACACCAGCATGGCACATGTATACATATGCAACTAACCTGCACATTGTGCACATGTAACCTAAAACTTAAAGTATAATAATAATAAAATAAAATAAAAAAAAGGAGTATTGCATGGTCAGACTGTTCAGATCTCATGAATGCTCCCTGCTTCTCTATTCCTTCTTTGATTTGACATGTGCCAGGCCATGTATTCCAGTGGATTTCTGTACTTTCTACTTTATTCCAAAGGCTAAGCATTCCTGAAAGCCACAGAGGGAGTTGATGTGCTTAAGGAAAGAAGTATCGCTTAATGTGGCCAAAAACCGATTCCATTTCTGTACAAATGCAAGGAGTTTTTGCCAGGAGCCAGGGATTAATAGTCTAGAGGAAGGGACTAATTGTACACAGGAACAATATTTACTTTTATAATGGGAATAGTTTGAGACAGTGCATCTTCTAGACACAAACATTCAGTAGGAAGGGTTATGCATTAATTCTTTCATTTAATGAGCATTTTAAGCACCTATTATGTGCCAAATATCTTTTCGTAGCTCTACAACAGTGTTCACTTCTCAATCTTTTGCTACACCAGAGCGTTGGGACCATGCTCCCATTAATCACCCTGTCTCAAACAACATGCTTTACCTTCATTCGTTGATTTACTCATCCATTCCTTCTCATAGTTTTTAACCTCAAGAGCTCTGAGGTTCAGGGTGGAATAATATGGAGGGCCTTTGAGAGGCTAACTTTTGAACCAAATCTTCGAGGATGAACTAGGGTAGTGGCAGGTAGAAAACTGCCTTTATATTTAGCCTTCTTTGGTACCTGGTCATGGATTTCTTCTTCAAGCATGAATGGCATCAGTTGTCTGGGAGTGAGATACAGTGTTCGTATGCTGAGAAACAGATTAGGCCATTAAAAAAAAAGTTGTGGCCACGTGTGGTGGCTCACGCCTATAGTCCCAGCACTTTGGGAGGCCGAGGCAGGGGGATCACGAGGTCAGGAGATCGAGACCATCCTGGCTAATATGGCGAAACCCCGTCTCTAGTAAATATACAAAAAATTAGCCAGGTATGGTGGTGGGCGCCTGTAGTCCTAGCTACTCGGGAGGCTGAGGCAGGACAATCGCTTGAACCTGGGAGGCGGAGCTTGCAGTGAGCCGAGATCGTGCCACTGCTCTCCAGCCTGGGTGACAGAGCAAGACTCCGTCTCAAGAAAAAAAAAAAATAAGAAACTTGTAACTCCCTCTCTCTACTTGATGAAGTAGACATCAGGAAAGACTTTCTTATTCTGCTTTCCATTAAAAGCCATAACTTGGAAATTATTATTGATTGGGCTTGGTGTGGTGGCTTGCGCCTGTAATCCCAGTGACTTGGGAGGCTGAGGCAGGAGGATTGCCTAAGGTCAGAAGTTAAAGACCAGCCTGGGCAACATAGTGAGACCCTGTCTCAAAAGAAAATTTTTTTTTAAGTAGCCTAGCATGGTGATGCATACCTGTAGTCCCAGGTACTGGGGAAGCTGAGGTGGGAGAATCACTTGAGCCCAGCAGTTCAAGGCTGCAGTGATCTATGATTACACCACTGCCCTCCAGCCTCGGCAACAGAGCAAAACCTCATCTCTAAAAAATAAATAAAATAATATCTTAGGGGAAGTTGACAAAACATTAGAAATATTGTAGGGTTAGGTGCCTGTTGAGCCCCAGGATTTATTCCATTATTCACTCATATCTTCATGTATCCATTCAATAAATACTTATTAAAAGCCTACACCATGCAAGATAAAAGCCACATTCTACTGAGTATGCAATGATACACGGTATGGGGTTTCTGCTTTATGGAAACTAAAGGCCTACTAGAGGAATTCAGGAATTCCAGTGTGTACCAGCTCGGCTGTAACACAGTGAGGAAGAGATAGGAACCATGAACTAAGCGGTGAAAATGTGATGGGATTCAGAGGGGTCAGAGGTATTGGATACAGTGAGATTATTTTAAACGTTTAGGGTGTACGAGCAAGATGAGTAGGAGATTTCTTTAGGAAACATCTCCCTATGAAATAAAAGTTTATATAAAAGGAATAATAATTACAGTTGATATTTATGAATACTTAATCTGGGCCAGGGACTATACTTAGTACTTTTCATGCATTGTCTGATTAGGTCCTCACAACAGCCCTGTAAGGCAGGTATTGTACTTTCTTATATTTTATAGTTTGCACTATTGTGTGCTCCATGGTTATAGCAAAAGCTTTGTCTGTAAAAGGCCACAGGGATAGAAGGCAGAGAGGAAAGTAGATGTGTGATGCAGTATTAATTATTGAGCCAATAAAATCTCTCTAATTTAGATTTTTTAGGAGGAAGTCATTTTACATTTTACATTAATTTAATCTATATTGAGAGATCCTTCTAAGAAAATAAGTTGCATTACTTCAAGTATACATAGCCATATAAATTATTGACCAATTTTTTTTTTCCAATTCATAGACATTACTTTCCAGAAACTAGATAATGACCATTTGTTATCAGCACACTGACTGCAAAATGGATGATGAAGAAAGCCTGGGTTTTTTTTTTTTTTTTTTGAAAGCTTGGTAGTTCTTCTTGTGAATAAATTAAACACTTTCCTGACGATCCTGTTTGCATTATTGACTTATATGTACTGGCTCATATGTAGCTGCCCATGTATAATTCTCCCCACTCATTCTGAAGGGAGGGAAAAAAACGATTAAAAATTTCCCCTCCTTCTTTTTCCTGTTTTGAGATTATTTTTGCTCCCAGCAGAGGCGCGGAGGAGGGAGCTCTCAGAGCCCCATTCTGTTCCCTACCTACAGCATGAAGGATCCAGATAACCGCAGAATGAATGAGGTTTGAGCATTTGTTTTTGCTATAAGTAAGATGGTTTCCCATTAATAAAAGTGGCACTCAGTTTACTTTGTCTTCGCCAGACAGGCAAAGGGTAAATTAAGGTGGTTACCTGTGGTGTCCCAGCTCTTTCCCAAGGCTGGACTAGTGTGAGCCGAGAACCAGGCAGGACTCACTCACAGGTCCCTTTCTCTGCTACTTCTGCTCTGGTTTTATGCGAAGCCCTATTTCCCAGCTGCTTCGGGTAAACAAGGACTTCTGTGTTGAAATAATAACCACTTGGGCTGGGCGCGGTGGCTCACGCCTGTAATCCCAGCACTTTGGGAGGCCAAGGAGGGTGGAGCATCTGAGGTCAGGAGTTCGAGACCATCCTGGCCAACATGGCCAAACCCCATCTCTCCTAAAAATACAAAAAATTAGCCGGGCATGGTGGCAGGTGCCGTAGTTCCAGCTACTCGGGAGGCTGAGGCAGGAGAATCTCTTGAACCCAGGAGGCAGAGGTTGCAGTGAGCCGAGATCGCACCATTTCACTCCAGTCTGGGCGACAGAGTGAGACCCTGTCTCAAAAAAACCAAAAACAAACAAACAAAAAAACCACTTATTGTTTCACTGCCTAATATTAATTAATTGGCCAAATTTCTATTTTATTATATTCCATATATTTTAAAATAATTTCTTCTTCTGTTGTACAAACCAAGATAGAAGATAATTTGCCCAAGAACACAATTGGTAGGTATCCTAGCTAGGAAAGTGGGTGCTTCTGAAAATTATAAAAATGAAATGAGGTAATTTTCTGGGCCCTTGGTACAATGCCTGAGATGTCATATATACTCAGCTAATTATAAGTGACATTTTGTTCTAGAATCCAGTAGCTCAACTTTTAGTCCATTGTGCTGAACACAAATCTATAGATCCTTAAATTGTATACTTTTATTAATTTAATTTTAAAGAGCCAGAAAAATTGACTACATTGGAAACATTCCAGTCCACCAACATATTGAGTAGAAAGAAGGACAAAGGCCATATTCTCTTTCAGATGCTACAAATTGTGTATATTTTCAGTAAGCTGTGTCTGCTTAAGGAGGCATTACTGCATTCGGATAGATAAACTCAAATAAAAAGGCCTGAGTGAAGAGGCTCTACTGGGTTTAGCGTTTTTTTGTTGTTGTTGTTCAGTTTTGCATGTGTGTTTTTAAATCAGTTTATGGTTCATAAGCTGATGAAGCAGTGAGTACAAGTTTGAACTATGAGAAGCAGGTTTGAATAAGTCTAGACATTTGGTTATCTTCTGTCTAGCATTCATTTGTGTCGTGGGCGTCACACTCTGGGGATTAGTGTTTCATTATGCAGAAGCTGTTTTATCTTTAGCTTTCTTATAATAGCTTAAAGTGAATTCTGAGTGGAGAGAGAATGAAGGCCAGGCCTTAGTAACTGCAAGAATCATACCAAAATGGGTTGGATGGGTTTTAACAGTGACCGATAAGCATTACGACCTCACTCTCTGATAGTTCAGTTGGCTCGATGCTGTCTCATCACCTCATTTAGGGTACAATATGCTGAGGAACTGACCAAAGGTCCCTGAACAGTGAGAGATAGGGAAGAGCAGAAATCCGTTCCTGTACCAAGTGTCTAACACTTAATATAGGTGAGAGCTGGCGTGAGATTATCTGTGCTGTGGAAAAATGAGGACCTATCGATACCTCTAAGTATATAATCACTGCCGTGTCACATTTTAATTAGCTCCTTGAGGCTATAGAAAGAAGTTCGCTTCTTATCCTCCAAATTAAGCATCACTTTTACAAACAATCAATGTTCCATTTTCAAAACCCCAAGTAGAGCAATGTTTGATTTTCCTTACTTTCCAGCTTTGAGAATGTTTCATTTTTAGAAATATGTTATAGGAATGTAAAGTAACTCTTGTTTCCCCAAATAACCACCTCCTTATTATCTGTTCCCCTAAGCTGAATCCTTTCAAAGGAAATTTTGTCTTCAGGCTAAGTTTAGTGGCTGATGGAAATCAAAATTATATCAGGTGGGCCATTGCGTCAGTAAAAAAGCCCAGACCACCACCACACAGGATTTTTCTCCAGACACCCAAACATCATGTCACAAAGCTCAAAAAAGTAGTGATTAACATGCAGTGCTTTCAGGAGGCCCACATTGCCGATTCAGTCCCAGTATGGGCTCGTCAGTTTCACTTTCATTCATTCATTTATTTATTTATTCCCCCACCCATTGATTCACATTCACTCATCCATTCATTAAACATTTGCTGCACACAATATCACTGTTAGACAGACTTTCAGAAATGATTGGGTTCCTGTATTACAGACATGAGCCCACGGCACAAAGGTCAAACTAAGAGTAAGATGGATGTTTATAGCACAAGCCTATAACAAAAAGAATGGGTCCCGAGCCGCATCTTCTTCCAAATGCACAAACTATATTTGTACCTTAAAAAAAAAACAAAAACAGTGTTTCCTTTTGAGAGGCAGCATGGTATATGGGAAGAACACGGATTTAAGAACTAGACAGGCCTGGGTTTGAATTCTGCATCCATAATGTGCTAACTGTATCATTTCGAGGAAGTTCTTTTGAGTTTCAGTTTGTCTTTAAATAGAGTCATCATTTCTACTTTGTAGGGTTGTGTGAGGATTAAATATAAAATATGCAGCATAATGACTGGCACATTTAAACGAAGTGCTCAGCAAGTGCTATTTCCCTTCCCCTTTCTTCATTTCTAACATAGTTTGGGAATGGTTTAGGATGACTCTTTTTCTTCTTGTGAATAGATAGAGACCTCATCACCCTAACACTAGAAAACTATAGGACAGAGACCATACTTCTTGCTGTGGCCAGCCCTCATCCACTTTGATGATGCTTGCAGCTCCCAAGAGAGACAACAGCCCCCACGGCATGGCCAAGAGAGGAGCAAACTCTCTCCCCAAGGCAGTCACTCTGGGGATGCCATTGTTCCATTGCCAAACTCATGACCTTTGGGGAATTTGGAAATCTACTACTTTGTGGGGAGAAAAGGACAAAGAAAGTCAAGATTAAGCTTTATATGTAAAGGCCTTTTATTTTAATGGTGTTGAATTGAGTTTGGATTTTGCGTACCCTTCAAATTTCTTAGGGTGTGGGTGAGGGCATCCTAGGAGATTTAATTAGCTCCTTGAGCGGCACTGAAGTTTGCGACATTGAGGCACATTTTCTTCTATTGTCCATTGAAGTGGGGGAGCCTGGCAATGAAATTTCTGAGAAACTGACGCTGTTGCCGTGGATAGAATTGTATGGATATTTGAATTTAGTTTAGTCACTTGGTGGAGTTTTATTTTGTTGTTTGGTTTCTTTTGGAAAGAGAAAATTAGTATAGTATGAATCTGAGCAGTCTGGTTACATGCTTTAATGGGCCTCTGAGATAAAGCAGAAAAGGATGTAGTCTAGTAGTAACCCTTTAGATGATAAGGGACACGCAGGAGGCTGTCCAAGACAGTCTGTTAATCTTAATAGTCTCTCACTTGTTAAGACCTGATTTATTTCAAACTAAATTTCTTGTTTTGAGTTTCCGGGTGAAAGTTCTGGACTGAATCCCTAAAAACATGCACAACAAAGAAGAAGGCTTTTAGAAAGGTTTCTCCTATTGACAGGGTTCATATTCTATAGTTCACAATTCAGTGAATCAACATTTATATTAATTTCATCCGTTACAACCTCAGAATTTGCCTACAAGATCCAATGGCATTTTTACTGCCCTTATTTAGCAAGCCTATACAGTACTTCATGCACTTGGTCATGTCTTCAACTAATATTTATTGGGTGTCTTCCCTAAGCAAGATAGTGCGAGAGAGAGAGCTGAGTTAAAACATTCAAGATAACCTCAAGAAGCTGACAATCTACTAAGGGAGATAAGACATACATATTAATAAGAACAACTTAAACACAAAGGACAAGATGATATGTGGCATATCTTATCAATTAAATAATGTTGGACTTCAGAGGGTGAAGGAATTAGGCATGAAGGTATATCTCAACAGGGCTGTGAATGACTGGAAACAAGGTCTTCTCTCTTCACACTGTGAGCCAGCCACATCCATACTACGGTGACATTCATTTCTCCCCCAGGCCAGCTATGGGCAGAAGTTTAATTATCCTTGAACGTCTTCAATGATCCTCATCTTTGCCCTTGTTCCCTCTTTATCCTTTCTTTCTCCCCAATGTCTTAAATCCTGATGCAGCCAGGGAGATTTTTTTTTTTTAACCTTCAAGAAGGTAAAAAACTATGCCAGGGCAAAATGCCAGATCAATGTTGCTATTAATATAATCAGATATAAACTTTTTCCAGTTGGCACCAACAACCCTGGGCCTTCTCTGAGTACCACCTATAAACAGGGCTTCAATTTCCCATTTTTGCATACTTACTAATGTACTACAGATCTTGCACTGACTTTAATTCAATATCAATATTAAAGTCATATGAGGTAGTAGTAAATAGAGATAGCCATACCTTAGAGTCAATAAGACATAAAATTAGTTATGTTATTATTATTATTAATTATGCATAATATGTCATTTTCCTGAAGAGAACAGACTAATAGCTGATTTCAGCAAGCATCTTTAGGCTTTTGTTTTCAAATTATTTTACATCTTTTTCTTTTCTTTTCTTTTCTTTTTTTTTTTTTTTTTTTTGACACAGAGGTCTCACTCTGTCACCCAGGCTGGAGTGCCGTGGTGTGATCTCAGCTCACTGCAACCTCCGCCTCCCAGGTTCAAGCAATTCTCCTGCCTCAGCCTCCCAAGTAGCTGAAACTACAGGCATGTGCTACTACACACGGCTAATTTTTGTATTTTTGGTAGAGACGTGGTTTCAGCATGTTGGCCAGGATGGTCTCAAACTCCTGGCCTCAAGTGATCCGCCTGCATTGGCCTCCCAAAGAGCTGGGATTACAGGCGTGAGCCACTGTGCCTGGCCACCCACCTATTTTCCATCTTTAGCACTGGCCGTTCTCATTCAAAATACGTACTGCTACACTAAGAGGAGACTTAACTTCAAATTCACTTTGCTCCACGGATGTTGTATATGACCTGAATAGATGTAATTCTGACAAGCTTGTAGTTCATTGGAGGCTCACAATTTGAAAGAAATGCATGATTAAGACTTTAGAACATAAAGAAGATTCTAGTAAAACAAATGATTGCACCCTTTTGGATTTTTTGCATATTATCTTTATGTAGGGAAGGGAATGATATGTTAGAAAGAATCCTCAAACAGGTTTAGACAAATCACTGGTTGAACCATAATCTCCAAAATATCGCTACATCAGAAAAAGCCCAACATAGCCTCTGAGGTATTCGTCAGAAATCCCAGTGCAAGCATTAGGAAAGAAATGTACTCCCTGCTCCTCACCTTTGTAAGTCAGATTTAGTCTTCACTGTTCATTTCAGGTTCTCTGCCTCCATAGGGGTCCCTTCAGCACTTGTTTGGTTCTCTAATTGGCTTATGATAGTGGGTCTTACATCATCAACTGGATTGTAAATTCCTTCAGAAAGAGATGTCAATTAAGTACACAGCAGAGTCACAGTATTTCAAAATTGGAAGTCATAGTAAGGGGGAAGGAGGGCCGCTAGATGCTGTGATTCACACGGCGTCATAGTAAGCAAGAGGCCGAGGCAGTGCCAGCACCCAGGTAGGGCTCCGGTGCCACCCTCTGCTTCATCCTCTGCCAAGCCTATCACGACGGTCGTTCAGCTCATGCTCTCCATGCACGTCTGGTGATTTGATGCTCATCTTTGCCAGCTTCAGAGCATCACTGGACACATGCCCAGTCTTGAAGGGTTAATTTTCAAGTACCAAGCATGCTTTGGACAAACTCAAATCTGTTCCTTGTTTTCGCTCAACCCGCAACCAGCATCATCAGCCCAGACGCAGCTTCCCCAGAAGGCCAGCAGGTGGAGCACAGTTTTGTGGAACTTCTCTAGAACTCGCTGTTTAAAAGCCGCAAACCAAGACATGTGAGGCTGTGGGGTGGGGGGCAAAGAAGAGCCCCAGATTCTGCACGTCTGGAAGCTTTTAAAATTGTCTTACAACAATTTTAGACCTACAAAAGCCAGCTTTTGAAATTGCATAAACGGCAAGTCGAGTTCTTTTTTTTTTTTTTTTTTGAGACCTAGTCTTACTCTATTGCCCAGGCTGGAATGCAGTGGCACGATCTTAGCTCACTGTAGCCTCCACCTCCCAGGTTCAAGCTATTCCCCTGCCTCAGCCTCCCGAGTAGCTGAGACTACAGGCGTGAGCCACCACGCCAGGTTAATTTTTGTATTTTTAGTAGAGACAGTGTTTCACTATGTTGGCCAGGCTGGTCTTGAACTCCTGACCTTAAGTGATCCACCTGCCTCTGCCTCCCAAAGTGCTTTGATTAGAGGCATGAGCCACGGTGCCTGGCCAGCAAGTCAAATTTTTAATTAGACTTAAAATGTTGGTGCTCATAACAACTACAGTTACTGTGGTTTTTTTTTTTTAGTTTCATAAAGAGGACAGACGCTAAGGCAATTGTGTGGAACAGAGCAGCTTCTCGGGGTAACCATCTCCTGCTGATGTATAAATATCGGGGCAAAACTGAGTAAGTTTTAGAAAATAAATGTCAAAGCAAGTCCGAGTCATTTATTCCTTAGCAGGAAATATCGATCCTGTGACATTATTTGATTATAATGACTGTTTCTATTAGGTTAAATGACTGAGGTATACTTAACCAGTTTAGGTGAAGAATGAGGCTCATTGCACCATTTGATTGACTAAACCTTAGAACCCATGTATTCTTTTTATTTGTTCAGTCACCAATTTTTATGAAGCACCTACTGTGTGCCAAACACCCTCTTGGGTGCCAAGGTAAGAATTAAATTTTGGAATTAAGCAAAGCATGATGGCTCATCCATGTAGTCCCAGCTACTCAGCAGACTGAGACAGGAGGATCGCTTGAACCCAGGAGATTGAGGCTGCAGTGAGCTAAGAACATGCCACTACCCTCCAGCCTGGATGACAGAGACCTCAACTCTAAAAAACAGGTTTTTTAAAATTGGAATTAAACACACTTGGGTTCAAGTTCTACTTCAGCTACTTATTAGTTGTGAGAAAATAAATGTCAAATGTTTTTCAATTTGCATAAGTTATTTAACCACATTATCCTTACTTTCCTTATCATTAAAACCCTGAAAAGGTTGTAAGTGACAAAATACGTGATACACACTTAGTGCCTGTCAGATGATAGGCCTGAGTTACTGTTAACTTTTTTTTTTTTTTTTACCATCCTCATCATGTTCCTCATTCTCATCTTCTTCCAGGGTTCTCACTTGATGAAGGAAAGTATTTAAGACAATACTTCTTTAACATACTTAATAATGGAATGGATATAGAAATGGGAGAAATCAGTGTGAAAGCAGGCTTTGGTGAGGCCACTATTTAAAATAACTATAGTTTATTTAAAGGAGACACGAAGTAACTGAGATTTCACAAGGCCCCAGACCCCCTTCTCGAATGTTATTATCAACTCCCGTTTCTGCCCTGTGATGTCATGAGGGTTGATGATCGGTTCTTCTTTTATTTTGTTGCCAAGTACAGCAGGGATATGTGTCCTCTCTATTCCTGAGTGGTGAAAGTTCTCTTCTGAGACCACAAAACATGGTGGCCTCAGGTTCTTTATGGCCCCACGGTCTCTTCCTGCACCCCTCCCCAAGGGGCTGGGTTGGTAGATATTCCTAATGTTATATCCCCTGTTGTTGACACCCCCATGCCCCCAATCCCGCATGCCTAGCAGATGCACCTTAACCCAACCACTCTGGGTCAGTTCCTTCCTCACACAGCAAGCTGCTAAGAAGGTTGAAGAATTACTGGACTTCAGATACCACATGGCACCATTATCCCTGGCAGGTTTCCTGTCACTGCCTGTTTCTTTTTCTTCCAGGAGGCTCATCAAACAGGCCTCCACACAAACAGAACATCCATCCACTTCACAGGCCACCCAGACGTATCCAGAGATGCCCAGATGAGACCTGATTTGCCTGGGTTAACCGTGTGTCTGCAGCTCAGACCCTCCAATGGGGCTTCTAGCTACATAGTCTAATGATGAAAAGCTACTGGCCTGGGATTTAAGAGCACAGCTTTCTAGCCTAACTCCACAACTGTGCCCCTGGGAATTTTAGTCTCCTCTCTGCATTTCAACTTCACCAACTAAATAAGTACCTTTTAATATCTAATTGAATTGATATGCTATATAAGCAAACCAGATGTTGTGAGTAAAACCAGCTTCAGCATCCAAAAGTTGATACAGATACTTTTGAGGAGCATGTTTCAACATATTCCTTAGGACAGCCTTACTATGAGAAGGTCATCTCTCAGTGATTTCAATGTGCCATTGGAAGAAGAGCTTCTGCCATTTAAATGTCCAGTTAGGCACTGGTGGACACAGCAGTATCCTTCCCATTCATTCCGACCATATTATTTTGAATCATAAAGGCATATCCTTAGAGGAGAACATTTAAAAAATTTAATAATGTATTTGTTTCATTAACATGAAGTTAAGACTTTAAGATAAGGGTAGTGCCCACAACACAATCTTTTAAAATGAAGCCAAGTTAACAGTCATTACTCTGTGATCTCAGGCATGCCCATTATCTCTCTGAGCTATAACTTCCTCATGGATGATCACTAGTCTCCTGCCGCTGTGAACTTTTACAAATCTGATTCCATAGTACACATCTTAAGTGTTAGAAATGCTTGTTCTTTGGTGCTGTAAAGAAATAGACCTTGAACATAAATTTAATTTCCTCAGCAAGACCATTTTTACTTTCTGCAGAAAGGGTACACTTGCCAGCAGTTTTGCCACAAGAGTACACGGAACAAAGGAGACAGGGTCATTATAACCTGACGCGTCCACCCTACTGCTATGTCCAGTTTCCATTGGCTGGAATGGGACCTCACATTCTGTATTTGTCCCGAATGGCTAGCAGCTTAGAACTTTTTAAAAGCAGCAAAAGCAGAAGAGAACAAAGGAAGGAGGAAGTAACTTGTGAAATGCTGAGAAAGGTAAAAAACCTTCAAATAAGGAAGAGGAACAGGCTATGACCTAATGCTTGCTTGGACCAGTATAAGCATGCTAGGGTAAATATTTAGGCTAAATTGTGGGAGCTAAGAACATAAAGTACATTGATTTCTTTATTACAGCTAGCAGATATTTAAGAATGTTAGCACAGGTCTTTGAATAAATTTTGCTTCTAAGAGAAAGTACTATTAATTCCTAATTAGATGGGGAGGAAAATCTTTGAAGAGGAACCTCTACTTTACTTTTTACATTAAGGAAATAGGGTGTCTAGTAATGCCCTCAAAAGTTATGAATGCCCGGTATCCGTTAGGTTTGAACTAACTGATCTTCACATTACTTTAAAAATAGAGATGACTCAATTATTGGTTGGCTGTGAGTAAAACCAAATAAAGCTTTATTTAAAGTTTTATTTAGATTCTTGAAAAAATTATTTAACTTGGGTTCTCCTTGGTATGATTAATTTAGAGAGAAAGGAATCTGAGAATGCTGTTGACCTCATCATTCCTTCACATGTTCCACTTTTTTAGTCTCTCATTTTAACTTAATGAAGGAAAGTCATAGGGAGAAAAAAGAGAGAGAAAAGAAGATAAGGCTGTGAAGAGAGAGGGTTGTTTTAAGACCTCACGTTGAACAATCAGCTAAATCTGCATTGAAAGCAAGAGAAATAGCTCAAACACAGGTTTATAGTATTTTCTTTCTGAGAGTGAACATTGTGCAGTAAAAGGTCCTTCACATGCTATGGTTCATACACTGGCATTTCATGAAGCAGTAGGGAGCAGAGTTAACCCCACCAAGAGCACTGCAGTGCGGCCTTCCTTCCCAGCCCCCGTTCCAGCACCTCTTTCCATTTCCCGACTTTTCTTTCACCGCCAGTAAATTTAATGTCTTCAGCTGAGCACTGATTTCATGAGCGTAAAGGACATTAGCAGTACTTCGCACATGGTATGCACAAATATTAGGCAAGTCCAAGGACAGGATGAGCTGCAAGCAGTCTATGATAAGAGTCAAAGGCAGGAGTTGGGGTTGTAGACTCCTCCAGCCAACCACAGCAACCAGGAATTTGGATGCTTCGGCCGCCAGAGTGCTTGCAAGAGTTCATCTCTGAAATCGCTTCCATTCCAGCGCTAACATTTTATGAAACCTGTGCTTTTCAAACAGATTGTTTTATTGCTTCCTGCATCACCAATGTGTTTTCTCTTTGCTCCCAGCTCCCTGAGAGCATTTTGAATTATAGCACAGATCATTGCCATCCACAAGGTGCATGACATCACAGTGGACTTGGGGGAAGCAATGTCAAATGAGACTGAGTGGAATGGGAAGGAGATAGGCTGGAAAATTTAAATAAAGGTCTTTAGGATAAAATACAGAATCCAGAATAGTTCCTAACTCTCACTACGTAGTCGTTTGTAGCAAACTGCTAGGACTCTTGGCTTTTATTGGTGTGATATAGATGCGCTGCTCCTTAATGGTAGAGACTGTGTCTTTAATCAAAAGTTGGCTACAGAGTTGTTTGTGCCTGTGATATACTTATTAGTCCAGAGCAGATATATTTTCTGTCGTGTGTGCTGAGGAGCACTGATGTAAATCCACTTAATGTTCATATCAAACTCTATTCTCCAGGAAAAGGTGAGGGACTGAAATGTACATACTTGTTGGCTGGTCACATTTGATATTCAGAGACCCAAATGAGAAAGTCTTGCTTCTGAGAAAGTACCCAAACACCAGGACATCTTCCAAGCCCCACACAGTAGCATTAATGTTTTAGGTGTGCAATAAATAGTGCTGAATGAAGGAAGAAAGTTTCCCAGGCTAGAAACAGGTGAGTGGAGACGTGATTATTATTAATACAAAATCTGGTGTGAGGTGGGGGTGGGACCCTCTCCCCAGGCTGTACCGACAGCCCCTTGCTCTCAGTCGGACTCCCAGGCTGAGATCCGGCCACTAAAGAGGGAACAGTGACATTTCACAGGAAATGACCCAGAAAACTAACAACGTGGAGTGTGTGTGCGTGTGTGCGCGCGCGCGAGTGCGCGTGCATGTGCGTATGGTGCACATGTGGTGGGGGCTGGGGACAGCTTGAATACAACCCAGGGACCTTAACTGGAGGAAAGACTTTACCAGGCAGACTCTGGTAAAAGTCGAGCAGGAAGCTGAGCGTGACAGGAACCCCAAGGGTGTCAAAATGCCCCCTCACTCAGCATCTCTTGAGTCCCATCAGGACAGAACTTGTGCTTAGTCAGGTTCTGGACCTGACAGATGTGAACCAGACGCCCTCTCATTGCTGGGGGCTCTGGGAGGGAAAGGTGGGATGAAGAGGGCACATTCCTCCCAAAGGACAAAGCACCTTTTAGTGGAAAATGTGAAAACAAAACATGCTCAGTTCAAACAAGGCTCACTTTGGTCCAGTACTTCCTTTGTTATGTTCCTGCCTCTTAAATCTTTCTGCTTTAAAGAACTCTCCAAGAAAATATTTTCAGAGTATACTTTTCAGAGGCCCTGTGGAAGCCAAGAATAAATGGCCTCCTTTTTTGGGTAAAGAGTCATATGTTTAAGATAGTTTTATTTGCTCCCCCCACCTCCTGCCCCGCATGCACACACGTTGATATGGTTAACTATCTTCTGCTCTGAATCAGTATTAAGAATGGGCACAGAGATGACTAAAAGCCAGAATTTACCATATTATCCCACAAAGCAGTAACTTTTCAATTTTAGGATACATAATTTCAGCATTTTTCCTATCACTAGATGTTTAGAGCTCCCTCCAGTGTCTCTATATTGTCATATTTACTTTGAGATTTTTTTTTTTCCCAAAGATCCTAAGAATTCTTTTAACCATAGCAGGGAGAGTATGTTATTGTCTTTAAGCTTACTTCAAGAACAGAACGTGAAAGCCAGAAATATCACATGCAGCCCCACAACCTATAGATTGTCCATTCCTGCTGTCTGTGCTTTTTTTCAGGATGAGGAGAGTTTTGGAGGTAGAAGAAGATGAAGTGGTCAGAGGATGGGACTCAGGAGGGGACAGGGTAATAAATATGGTATGAAAGTTGCTGCATTTAAAGAGCTTAGGGCCGGGCGCCATGGCTCACGCCTGTAATCCTAGCACTTTTGGAGGCCAAGGTGTGAGGATCACTTGAGCTCAAGAGTTCGAGACCAGCCTGGCCAATGTGGCGAAACCCCATCTCTACTAAAAATACAAAAATTAGTCAGGTGTATTGGCATGCATCTGTAGTCCCAACTACTTAAGGGGCTGAAGCAGGAGAATTGCTTGAACCCAGAAGGTCAAGGCTGAAGTGAGCTGAGATTACACCACTGCACTCCAACCTGAGTGACAAAGTGAGACCCTGTCTTAAAAAATTTTTTTTTAAAGAGCTTGAATAACTTCCTCTTCTTAGAAAACGCATAAACTCTGATGTGTCAGCTGAGAAGCCGAGGACCTGGGATTTCAACCTCTTGCCCGTGTGTTTGTGATTCTGGCGTGAAGGTGATGATGCATTTCCAAAGTTGAACTTGGTCTGCTAGGTTTGGGATGTGGCAGAATTCTGGTTCCTGCCAGAGTCCCAGTCTTTCTGAGTGTATGTGTGTGTACATGTGTGTGCATGTGTGACGTATGTATTTATATCCATACATACATACACGTGCACATCTACATGTGTATGTATATATAATCAAGATGTTCAAAATTCAAAGCGCTGTTTTAAGAGAGTTAAAAAAAATTCACTATCTACAGATTTGAATTCAGACTGGGTTAAAACCACCTTCCTCCTCTGGTTGTCAAGAGGAAGGTTTTGGAGTTCGTGAATTTTTTCTGTGGAGTTAAGATAACGTTTGATGTAGGAGAGCAAAGCTGCTTCCCATGCCTAATTCCATAAAAAGCCCAGAACCTCTGAGGCCCATCTTCAGCCAAGCAGCCTTGCCCTCTGGCCTTTTCTGCAACAGTGAGACAACAGCCCTGGGCACAGCGGGAGTTGGTTCTGACACCAGATGTTCTCTGCTCCTGGTTAATGTCAGTGAGGGCTGGAAGTTGAATAAATGAGAACAGGAGTGGTCTGGGCCCATGTAAATGATCCTCCCTTGAAAGGAGGAACAGCTTTCATCATTTGTTCCAGCTAAGCCTTGCATGCATTATAGATCTGGTGCTAAGCAGTGGGAAAGATCTCATAAGTAATGTTTTATGTTCTTTCTGTCTCTCCTCTTCTGTTGTTCTTGGCTTGTGGGTTGTGTTCGTGTTGTTAACTGGAAAATTGCTATAAGCCAGTTGTCTCGTAAGTTTTAAAAACGAATTAGAAAAACCATAAAATCCTCTGGCCTATGCACATTGTCCCTGTTTTGTGAAAACATTAAAGGGTAAATAAAAAGGAAGGAGAACAGTCAATAATGTGCATCAAATATATTCTGAGTTCTAGAGAAATTAATGACCAAGCATTAGAACTAGAAGCAAAAAAAAAAAAAAAAAAAAAAAAAAAAAAAAAAAAAACTGTCAGTGGTTGGCGAGAAGTCTTGTTTTTTCCAGCCATATAGATCAACTGATGATATGGTTTGGCTGTGTCCCTGCCCAGATTTCATCTTGACCTCCCATGTGTGTGGGAGGGACCTGGTGGGAGGTATTGAATCATGGGGGGCAGGTCTTTCCCATGCTGTTCTCGTGGTAATGGATAAGTCTCACGAGATCTGATGGTTTTAAAAAGAGGCATTCCCCTGCATAAGCTCTCTCTCATTTTTTGCCTGCCACCATCCATGTAAGATGTGACTTGCTCCTCCTTGCCTTCCACCATGATTGAGAGGCTTCCTCAGCCATGTGGAACTGTAAGTCCAATTAAACCTCTTTCTTTTGTAAATTGCTCAGTCTCGGGTATGTCTTTATCAACAGCATAAAAATGGACTAATACGACTGGTGGTTGAGAAAATGTAGCAGCCTGAGATTTAAGAAACAAGTGATCCCTGAGACAGAGCCCTTGACCCTAAAGGGGAAAAATATTCAGTTACACTCATGAGATATAAACATAGTACTTTTGTTGTAACTGCTGAGAACTGAAGAGCTAAAAGTCAACATTATTTTCCTTTTTGAGACTCAAAGTGTGTCCACCAGGAGCACTCTTCCCAATGGAGGCAAAATCTGCCAAAGTTGTTTTTGTTGCTGTCTAACCTTAGACCATTTCATCTGCCCCAACTAAAAGTCCTAGCCACAGCTCTCTCAAGCGATTCTCCACCCTCAGCCTCTGAGTAGCTGGGACTGCAGGCACATGTACCACACCCAGCTATTTTTTTTAAATTTTTAAATTATGTTTTTTAGAGTCAAGGGTCTCACCTTGTTTCTCCGGCTGATCTTGACCTCCTGGTGTCAAGTGATCCTCCTGCCTCAGCTTCCCAAAACACCAGGATTACAGGTGTGAGCCTGGTCCCCCAGGCTTGACTTGGCACATTGAATCTTTTATGAAGAACAATTAATGACTTCCCATGTTGTGTAAAGAGACGGGCAAATGTGGCTTCAAAGCAAGTCTTGCCAACCCTCGCTACAACCAGACTGTCCCTGGCCTAAGCAAGCCCCTCCCATGTAGACCTGGAAAGCCACTTCCAGGTTTCAAGGATGAGTTTTAGAAAATTAATGGGGTACTAGCATATGTGGGTCAACTCTTTATTTTAATGTAAGGACACTGGACACTTTAAAATAAGTTTTCTAATCTTTTTAAAAAGGAAGGGATATTTTAACATCCCCAAAGTGAAAATAATATAATATCAGAGTAAGTCCTAGAAATTTAATATTATGGTACATTTACTATGTTGTCTTTATTTTTCTTCATTTCCACGGATTGGCCCTGGTTCTCAGACCAGCATGTGGGAACTACTGGGTTGGAGTGTTAGCCAATAAAAATGGCCAAAAAGTAGACCATGACCTTCTTTGAGCTTTTCTCTGGCTTGTAATTCCCGAAGCTCCTTCTAGTGCCAAAATACTTCTCCCTCCCTCCCTCTTTTAGACTGTAAGCTCATTGAGAACAAGGACAATATGGTAATCTTAATATCTTTAGCACACAGTCAGATATGAAAGAGACACATCATAAATATTGGATTAACAAATGAATGTTCTGAAGGGGAATGTGGTTGTTGCCACTGTAGAAAAGGTTCAGGAACCAGGAATTCTTGTGTAAGATGTCATCCACATAGTCACTGGAGAATTCCACAGTTGGGTTGAGGGCAAATAGGAATGCCATGATCCAGGTACCTAGAACTGGCTTGAAAACTTGTACCTTGCAACAATAAATGGAAGCCAATGGCCATGTGGTCTGGCCATGGCCACGTGGTCAGAAGAGAAGGAATTTTCGAATGAGGATAGAGGAAGTAGCCACGGAGCCCTGAACAGGGGCTTGGGAGGTTGAGCTCTCTCCACCTCAGAGGGCTGTAGGAGAAACAGGGCTGTCTGCAGGGAGCCAAGGTTACAGTCTGGGTTGGAGAGAATGTTCTGAGGAAAGGCTGAAGCAAGAAGAGAGCTACTTTTTACTAGATTACTGTGTATTCAGAGGGCAGAGTGGAAATAATTAATACTGAGTGAATAGAAGGACAGACAGACCTAAGGATAGGTGAGAGAGGTCTGTCTGGTGCTTCTGAAAGTTTCAAGTGTCTAGGAAGCCCCCAGCGTTCTAGTGGAAATGCACATTCTGGTTCTGTCAGTCTGGGTGGGACCTGAGATTCTGCATTTCCCACATGCTCCCTAGTGATGCTGATGCTGCTGGGCTGTGGGCCATGGTGAGGCTAGCGTTTAGGTCAAGGAAACAAGCATCTTCAGAGGATGTCCTCCAGGAGCCCAGGCAACAGTTAGAAGGTCAATGGAAAATTCTCTGGCTGCAGCTGATCTTTTCTGCTTCCCTTTAGAGCAGGGAATCTCAACAGCACTGTTGACATTTGGGGCCCAGATCATCCTATTTGGGGAAGCAGGGAGATGGAGGGGGTGGAGGTGTCCCGTGCATTGGGAGAAATTTAGCAGCATTCCTGGCCTCTATGCGCTGGATGCTGGTAGCACCCGGCAGTTGTGACAATCAAAAATGTCCTCAGACACTTCCAGGTGTCCCTTGCAGAGCAAAATTGCTTCCGGTTGAGAGCCAGAGGGTTAGAAGGAGAATTATGTGTCTTCCCTCCCCGCTTGCTGCCACCTCCACCTCTTGTCTTCTAGAACCATGAGGCAGAAATGACTTAAGTCTGATATGCTTGGAACGCAACACTCTTTTCGCTATTTCTGTCTTTAGAAATGTTGAGAAAGTGTTTGCCTTTATTTGACGGCCTGATTACTTTAAGGTGTCCTCGGCATAGACCAGTGAGCGCCTTGGCCCTATTTGCTGACAGTTTTAATAGAACAGCAGGGAAAGTCCTTTCCAAGAAAGTGTTGGCTACGTAGCCTAACGTCATTTTAAGTCATCACCATACACCCACCAAACCTCTGAGATAAAATGGAAACTCCATCATCTCTTGCCAGGGTAATGGTGTTAGTAATTCACTAGTGACCTCTAAGAATTTCTCTGTGCATTCACTGCCACATTTAACTTTTGTTACACGGCCTCCAAAATGTTTTCCAGCCACAAGGTCAGTCCATTGACAATCTCAAAAATCCTGACAAGGGGACAGATGGGTTTAGTTTTTGCCTTTGTGATGGTTAGTTCTGCTTAATGTGTTGAGAAAACATCTGAAGGTTTTAACCCTGGCTGGAGTCGTGAGACGGAGGCATGTTTAATGGAATAGCACACGATCGTCCTCTCATGGTGAGTCCACGTTGGAGGGCCCAAAGACCCATGTTGTACAATCGGTTCAACTTTTTCTGAAAGCCAAAGAAAACCTACCTCCAAACAGGATTTAGTCTCAAGCTAGAGCAAAAATGTACATCATGTTGAAAAGTCTTCTCCAAGTGCTACAATTCATAAGCAGTGTTGTGTTTTTACTGGAAAAGCTTGCCATCTAGCCAAGCATTCTTCACATTTTTCCCAGGATTTAGTCATAAAATCATTTTAGACATATTGCAAGGATAAAATGTGTACATATCTGATAAAAGGCAGGGATTTTTTTCTTCTTTTTTGCTGTATAACTCCTGGAGGAGGCGAAAAACAAACTAGACACACACATACACACTCACAAAACACACGTATTTGTGCATATGTATGTGTATATAGAGAGTGCACACATGTTCATATATATACGTGTATATGTGTATGTATATAGTTTGTTTTCCCCCTCATGAAATGTGTGTGTGTGTAAAATAAACTCTATACACATATACATATATATTATTTTCACCATTAAGTGCAAGAACTTGGATTCTTTATTCACGATTACTTCTATTTGAATTTAAATTAGATGCCTTAGGCTTCTCTTTGGGTTTGAATAACTTAGACACAAAGTATAAAACACTTCCTAATGATGCCCACCTGCCTAGGACATCTTTAGGAATTCAGGTGGAAGTGTGTTTGCATTTGATTTATCTAAGACGTTGCAGCAGTGGGGATGTAATTTCTGCCTTTGGGCAGGAAGGGAGCTTAGATGGTGGAGTTCGTATTTGTAAACGTAGATGTGGGTGCCTCAAAGTTGGCTGCGTTGCTAACTAAAGGAAGGAGAGAAGTGAGCCCAGATGTTGACCTTTTGAAAAAAAAGTCCCATTTTCATGACAGATTGGCATAAAAGCAATAACCTGTGGTAAAGTCTAAAGAATACAAGATTTGGATTTCTGGATTTGAGTCCTGTCTATGCAACTTACTAGATATGTGGCCTTGGACAGATCACCTAATCTCACCTGTCAAACAGGGACAATGAAACTCAACATAGCAATGGTTGCGAGGAGTTAATGAGGTAATCCGTCAAATTCTGTGGCCGTGGTGAAGGATGATACAAATATCCAGTGGCGTTTTTGTTCTTGAAGATAGTATTCTTGTGTGAGTTCTTGCCAACACACATACAATTACATTTCTGAGTCAGACTGATTTCAGTAGCAGATAAACAGAGGGAGTAAATCAGCAATAGATTAGTTGGAAACTCTGGACAGCAATGATTTGGTGGCATATGGCTTGGTGGTATGTACCTGCACATGTAATCATGGAAAGTTGACTATTCCTACTGTTCTCCCCTAGTTCTATTTCACTTAAGAAAAAGTTGGAATGGATACCAGCAGTGTGCTGATAAAAGTTTAGCTACTACTGGCGGCCGGGCACAGTGGCACTTTGAGAGGCTGAGGCAGGCAGATCACCTGAGGTCAGGAGTTTGAGACCAGCCTGGCCAACATAGTGAAACCCCATCTCTACTAAAAATATAAATACTAGCCGGGCATGGTGGTGGGCACCTGTAATTCCAGCTACTCGGGAGGCTGAAGCAGGAGAATCACTTGGAGGTGGAGGTTGCAGTGAGCCAAGATCGTGCCATTGCACTCCAGCCTGGATGACAGAACGAGACTTCATCTCAAAAAAACAAAAAACAAAAAAACAAAAAACAAAACAAAAAGTTTAGCTACTGGCTCGGGAATAACAGGACGTTTGATTTGTAGCATTTACTGATTTCTGTAATATAAATACTCTCACTGTGACTAATTTCAAACTACCAATGTGACATTACCAACCATGAGATTGTAAAGAGATGCACAGTAGCACACCACCATATAGGACAGTCGTGCATCACTTAATAATGGGAATGCATTCTGAGAAATGCATCCTTACATCGTCCTTCTGCAAATATCATAAAGTGTGTTCACCCAAGCCTAGATGGTACAGCCTGCTACACATCTAAGCTATATAATGCAGCCTGTTGCTCCTAGGATACAAACTTGGACATAGGGTTACGATTGCCTACAGCACTCAGCACCTTACTGTACTGAATACTGTAGGCACTTGTAACACAATGTTCCTAAACATAGTTTTTGTGCATCTAGACATAGAATAGGTACAGTAAAAATGAAGTAGAAAAGATTTTAAAAGGGCACACCTATATAGGGCACTTACCATGAATGGAGCTTGCAGGACTGGAAGTTGCTCTGGGTGAGTCAGTGAGTGGGTGGTGAGTGAATGTGAAGGCCTAGGACATCACTGTATCACTGTACCCCACTGTAGACTTTATAAGGACTGTACACTTAGGCTACACTAAGTTTGTTTTTTAAATTGTTCTTTCTTTGATAATAAATTAACCACGCTCAGCTTACTTTTTTACTTTATAAACTTTTTAATTTTTAAAAACTTTTTGATAACTTTCATAATAGCACTCAGTTTAAAATACAAACACATTTTACAGCTGTACAAGAATATTTTCTTTCTTTATATCTTTATTCTATAAGCTTGTTTTTGTAGAAACTAAGTCTCACTATGTTGCCCAGGCTGGTTTCGCGCACCCGGGCTCAAGCCATCCTCCTGCCTCAGCCTCCCAAAATGCTGGGATTACAGGTGTACACCACCACATCCAGTTTATAAGCTTTTTCTTATTAAAAAAAGTTTTTTTTTTTTAAGTTTTCTGTTAAAAACTAAGACACAAACACATACATTAGCCTAGCCCCACACAGGGTCATGATGGTCAGTATCACTGTCTTCTACCTCCTTATCTTTTCCATCTGTAAGGTCTTCAGAGGCAATACCATGAATGGAGCCATCATCTGCGATGATAACAATGCCTTCTTCTTGAACACCTCCAGAGGGACCTGCCTGAGGCTGTTTACAGTTAATTGGCTTTTTTTTTTTTTTTTTTTTTTTTTTGAGACGGAGTCTCGCTCTGTCACCAGGCTGGAGTGCAGTGGCACAATCTCAGCTCACTGCAACCTCCGACTCCCTGGTTCAAGTGATTCTTCTGCCTCAGCCACCCGAAGAGCTGAGATTACAGGCACGTGCCACTATGCCCAGCTAATTTTTGTATTTTTAGTAGAGATGGGTTTCACCATGTTGGCCAGGATGGTCTCGATCTCCTGACCTCGTGATCTGCCCACCTTGGCCTCCCAAAGTGCTGGGATTACAGGCATGAGCCACTGCGCCCGGCCTACAGTTAATTTCTTATAGGTAGAAAGAGTCCACTCTCAAATAACAATAAAAAGTATAGTATCGTAAATACACAAACCAGTAACATAGTCATTTATTTTCACTATCAACTATTATGTACTGTGCGTAATTGCATGTGCTATACTTTTATAGGACTGGCACTGCAGGACGTTTATATATACCAGCATCACCACAAACATATGAGTAATGTATTACACTATTACATTGGACAGCTACAGCATCAGTAGGCAGTAGAAAATTTTCAGCTCCATTATAATCTTATGTGACCGCTGTCACATATGCAATCCGCGGCTGACCCAAATGTTGTTATGTGGTGCATGACTTTATATCCACTATACAAGTAGATGTAATTAACCTCAGTCATACAGATAATAGTAAAATAGAGTAAAATGAGGGATGATGATGAGTTTTTGTTTTTGTTCTTGTTTTTTTTTTTTTTTTTTTTTGAGACGGAGTTTCGCTCTTGTTGGCCAGGCTGGAATGCAATGGCGCAATCTTGGCTCACCGCAACCTCCACCTCCCGGGTTCAAGTGATTCTCCTGCCTCAGCCTCCTGAGTAGTGTGATTACAGGCATGAGCCACCATGCCCAGCTAATTTTGTATTTTTAGTAGAGACGGGATTTCTCCATGTTGGTCCGACTGGTCTCGAACTCCCCGATCTCGGGTGATCCGCCTCGCCTCAGGAGTTTTTAATATAATTTATTAAACCATAAGTTTATATAAGTTAATTTTTAACATTGGCTATGTTGAACGCTTGGCTGTCAAGCTTAACTGTTAGCTCTCACAGACCTGGCTCCAACATGCTACTGTTTCTCCTTGGCTGTGTTACAGTACAAAGTTATACCATGAATTAGCAAGTTCAGGACCATCCTGGAAAGCCAGCGTGGAAAATGCAGTCATAAATGGATTTTTATTTCTGTGGACTTTGGACTGGCTGTCTACTCTTGGTCTCACATTCTCTACTGCATATCTCTTTGGCTAAGAAAATTAGTATTGAAAAATGGTTTATGGATCTAGTTATTGGAGCTAGTATTCAACTTTTTAGTTACTTAAAAGATAGGACTTAAACAGAGCTGAATTTTATAGGGTCTTTTATTTTCTTCTTTGGTCCTTAAGAGAAGACTGCAGAAAACTAGACAAGAGGAATTTGAATGTTCTCATAACAAAGAACTGATAAAGGTTTGAAGTGAAAAATATGCTAATTACCGTGAATTGATCATTACACAATATATACATGTATTGAAACATCATACTCTAGCCCATAAATATAAGAAATTATCAGATGTCAATTAACAATGGAATAAAATGAAATTAAATTTTAAAATGAAAACATTCTAGAAAATATTCCCAAGAAGAGATTTATTTATTTATTTTTCTGGCTATCTATCCTTAAGGGTTCGGGAAAAAATGGCCGGTGGAGAACAAAAGATTGAAATTTTAGCTCATTCATGATGCACGTGACCGGGAAGGAGTGTTAAGATGTCCTGTACTTCCTTCCATAATCACAGGTTGAGGTGAGGGTTGCCTAAAGTCTGATCAGCCACATTTTGACAGTGGAGACTCAGAGGCCTAGTTAGGAACACAGAAGGAAAAATGTTAAAGGCAGACCTTTATAACCAAAACAATCAACAGGTCTAAAAGCCAAAGAAACCAGTATTTCAGAATTGTTAACTTACTCCTAGATGTGTGTTAGGCATCGGGCTTATCTTAAAGAAGTGTCTTAGACCACAGAAACATAGACCCATGATATTTGGACCAAGCATAGGTTAAAACTAGGGGAGGGAGGCACGAATTACAAAAAAAAAAAAAAAAAGGTGATTCCATGTTAGAATCCCATGTTGAAAAGGTATTACACTTTATTGTAATACAGACAAGATTTCACTGTGTTGGCCAGACTGGTCTTGAACTCCTGACCTCGTGATCCTCCCACCTTGGCCTCCCAAAGTGCTGGGATTACAGGTGTGAGCCACTGCGTCTGGCCTAAAAAGCATATTTTAAAATTAGTCACATATGGAAGCTAAGTAGTGCATTTTGTGTTTCCGAACAGGACTTAAAACGTCAGTGCCATAAACACTGGTATGTATTCAGACACACTGGTCATATGTCATGAATTTGGTAGACATATTTGTAGGCAAATAATGTAGAGATAGAGTCACATATTTTAAACTAAACAACTCACTATGAACCATCATGATGGTTCACACCTACAATTCCAACACTTTGGAAGGCCAAGGTAGGAAGATCACTTGAGGTCAGGAATTCAAGACCGGCCTGGGCAAAAAAGCAAAACTCCTCTCTACAAAAAAATTTAAAAATTAGCCGGGTATGGTTGTACATCTCTGTAGTCTTAGCTACTCAGGAGGCTGATGTGGGAGGATTGCTTGAGCCCAGGAGTTTGAGGCTGCAGTGAGCTATGGATGTAACCCAGAAAGACCCTGTCTCTAAAAAAAATAAATATATACAATAAAATAAAAATAAATTAAAAATTTAAAAAGCCACTGTGATTCTTCTCTGTGATCATTCGTAAGTCATACACTATTTTGTGTGGGTGAAACATGTGATCTGTTAGTGGGTCTGAGAAAATCATATTTATTAAGCAAAAAAGTCAATATGTGCTTGTGTTTTGCTTATGAATTTACTCGAATAAAATGTCTGAAGGTCTTGAAACTTCTTAAAAGAAAATGGTTCTTACTTCATTTTGGTGTGTTTACATTAAGGGGAGCCATGTGACCTCTTATGAGAGTTACTGTCAAATTTCAAGTGCATGGGCATTGCCTGGAGGACTTGTTCAAACACAGATTGCTGGAAAGCCCAAGAATTTGCATTTGTAACAAGTTTACAGGTGATCATGATGCCGCTTTCCCTGGGTGACTCACTTTGAGAACCACTGTCTTGTGAGTTTAGAGATAAAGAATGGTTGAGGTCGTGTGCGATGGCTCATGCCTCTAGTCCTAGCACTTTGGGAGGCCAAAGCGGGTGGATCACCTGAGGTCAGGAGTTCGAGACCAGCCTGCCTAACATGATGAAACCCTGTCTCTACTAAAAATACAAAAATTAGCCAGGTGTGGTGGCGGGCGCCTGTAATCCCAGCTACTCAGGAGGCTGAGGCAGGAGAATCGCTTGAACCTAGAAGGCGGAGGTTGCAGGGAGCCAAGATTACACCGCTTCACTCCAACCTGGGCTATAGAGCAAAACTCCATCTCAAAAAAAAAAAAGAATGGGTTGGAAAAAATGTCTGCACATCAGTAAGCACAAAATAACCATTGATAAATAGCATTACAAGCATCCAGGATCCTAACAGGAGGGGAGAAAATCAGGCCACTTTAGAAACACTTTTATGACTGGCAGTTATCCAGTTTGCTACTAAGGTCAGGTCTAAAAGATTGTTAAGACTAGCCTGTTTCTGTATCCATGGGTATCAGCTGGGGAAGCCAAGTTCTGTCTTTGTGCTTGGCAGCCCTCCCCAATGCCATGTCTCTGCTGATGACATTGGAATTTCCTCCAAATTAAACAGCCTGACAGCAGCCATCTGTAAAGAAGGCAGCAAGGTTACGAGTGATCACTGGCTAGTGCCATTTCTGCTGCCAACCAGGCAGGCAAAGCTTCTGGCATGTTCTTGACCACCTCTGAGAAGAGTTGATGTTTCCTTTGGGGTATCATAGAGTTTCTGCCACCCAGCTCTGTTTCTCTGCCTCCTGGTGCCTGCCCCTAATTATTGCATAGTTGTCACTGATCCTGGTAACCTGACTGCTGGATTTTTGCTCCAGAAACCTACAGTAAAGGAGACCGTAGGCCACCAGAAGCCAGGAGGAAACATCAGGCTGCAGTCAAGGGCACTGCCTTCTCCCCTCCAGGCTGCTGGGCTTTGAGGGCAGAGAAATAAAAAGACTGAAAGGGATTAGAGGCCTGGAGTCCACAACAAAGCCCTGTAGTCATCCACCACCTTGCACAGCCTCTTCCTGCCATGCTTACAGGTGAAAAGTCTAGTTCATAGGACACATTGCTTTTCCAGAACCTTCCGCTGCCTTCCAGAGCCAGCATTCTTCCTGAAAACTCTCTCTTGCCAGTTGTTTGCCTTCAGAGTTACAGTTTAAAAACCAACACTTAAACTGATATCCTCTGAAGAAAAAAACAGATAACAAATTCATGAATCATAGTTATACTTAAATTTCCTCCGTCACAGAGAAACATGTTATTTTTAGAAAGTGGATCCCAAACCTAACTGATCAGAATCCCTTGGGGGAAATGTTTTTAAAAAATACCATTACCTGTGCACTGGCCCAGAAAATCCAGGGCCATTAGAGACTGCAAATGTCTGAGAATCTGTGTTTCCTAAAAGGCACAATGGTGATTCTGATGGGCAGCCATGTTTGAGAACCTCTGATTGAATTGTGCACAATTTTGATGGTGCTGCTGTTGCATTATAGGTAATTCAAAGAAGAGCTTCTTTTTTTTAAAAAAAAATAGTAATCTATAAATATAATAGTTTTCATCTGAATAGTGTTTTCTTGTTTTCAGAAGACCTTCATAACTTTTTTTTTTTTTTTTTTTTTTTGAGATGGAGTCTTGCTGTGTCACCCAGGCTGGAGTGCAGTGACGCAATCTCGGCTCACTGCAACCTCCGCCTCCCAGGTTCATGTGATTCTCCTGCCTCAGCCTCCTGATTAGCTGGGATTACAGACGTGTGCTCCTACGCCCAGCTAATTTTTTATATTTTTAGTAGAGATGGGGTTTATCCATGTTGTCCAGGCTGATCTCAAACTCCCAACCTCAGATGGTTCACCTGCCTCGGCCTCCCAAAGTGGTGGGATTACAGGCGTGAGCCACCACGCCTGGCCATAACTATTATCTTTGACAATTTTCCTGGGAGGTGGATGACAGGACCTGTTACTGACGCCAGTTTACATCTGAGATGCTGCAGTGGAGAGGAATTGGAACTAGAACCGACACTTACGGCTTCTTGTCTGGTGTACTCTCTGCTGTTCCATCTTCATTGCTTGTGTGCATGCGTGTGTGTGTGTGTGTGTGTGTGTGTGATGTGTTTATTTGACTCCTTGAATCTATGTTGTCTTGTTTTTCGTAAATGGATTAACGCCACTACCACGGATCATCAGGGAGATATGACGCTAGAGATAGATAAGCCAAATGGAGGTAGAAAATCCAAACTGAAAACAGGGAGAGAAGCTAAGATAGACCCAAGGAGTCTAACAACCCAAGTTCTAAACTAGAGAGAAGGCCACTGTTCATCTATTTCAGGGATGGGCAGTTATGGAAATAGTATGAACTCAGGCATCCCAAAGGCAGTGCAGTGTATGAGAGAAAGATGCTTGCATGCATACTCCCAGCAAAGCTCTCAGTGGGGCCCAAGATGCAGGGCATGGAGGGTAATAAAGATTAGCCAGGAAGGTGATAGGACAACAGATACTGAAAACATGGCAATGAAAAAACATCAGCATTCAGAGGTGAGAATTACCATTGCCAGAAGTTCTTGGGAAGTAAAACAAGTACAGAGCTATGGGTCAAGGATCTCACAGTTAGAGTACTAGTAGCAGTAGGGTGGACTTGAGTCTGTAGTTTGGGACCAGCTGCTAACTTAAAGCCTGGGAAGCTCGTGTTAGCCAGACATTACAGATACTTTTTATGTCACCTTGAACAAGCTTCACTATCCTTATATTTAAAATAAGGAGTAGGCCTATTAATAATCTGTATGTATTTCTTGCAGTAAGGAAATCTAATTTTGGGAAATGAATAGCAAGAACATAGCTTGGTGCAGTGAGTCAGTGAGAGGATTTACAAAAGGTGAACGTACACAGGACTCTTAATACTGATCCTGGGCTAGTCATGTCATTGCACATGACACCTGCTGTTGGAAGGAACAGGTTAAGCATTTAGTTGTGTGCAATGAACCTGTGAGCCCTGTGGGCTGGTCCCACTTATTTGAAATAGAACGATTGCAGTGCCTATGTGAGTCAGGGTACACCTGAATGTTTAGTTAGTGCTTTCCATTAACCCTTTTCAATTTTGCTTCTATGTTTTCTTTTCCTCCAGAAGGAAAATGAGCAGAAGGTGTGTCACATGCTCGCTTTTTATCTGCTGCGTAGTTCTTGTAGTGAAAGGATTGTCGATAAGTTCAGAAACCAAGACTACTGCTGCCTCCCCTTCATTCATTCAGTAGTCTTACAGCCTAAAGAAGACAAGAAAATTAAGGACTCTCAAGGCAAAAGGAAGTCAAATGAAATTGGGAAGTGGGTCTACAGTAAATGCAATATCTGTCGCTTTCTTTTAGAACTGCATAAACCACATGGAAATTTTCCGTGTATATTTGCTACCAAGGGATGCTATCATCTTTTTCTTTCCTTTTTTTTTTTTCTTTTTTTTTGGAGATGGAGTCTCGCTCTGTCACTCAGGCTGGAGTGCAGTGGCGCCATCTCCACTCACTACAACCTCCGCCTCCCGGGTTCAAGCGATTCTCCTGCCTCAGCCTCCCGAGTAGCTGAGATGACAGGCGCGTGCCACCACGCCCGGCTAATTTTTGTACTTTTAGTACAGACGAGGTTTCACCATGTTGGTCAGGCTGGTCTCTCGAACTCCTCACCTCGTGATCTGCCCGCCTTGGCCTCCCAAAGTGCTGGGATTACAGGCGTGAGCCACCACGCCGGGCCACTATCATCTTTTTAATTTAGGCACATAGTGCTCAGGAAAAGACAAGGATGATGGATGGTAATTAAGTAAATGAAGACAGCATTGGTCAGGAGGGCAGTATAAACAAAGTAAAATAGAAAGTCTCTTGTTCTATTTTTTTTAAATAATGATAATTATATATTTCTTACAGTCATATCCAGAGCTTACTTGAATCTAAAGCAGTATTTATCTTTGCAGCAAGCCTATGAATTAGCTTTACAGACTGTAGGATGCAGAGACCCTTGGATTAGAAAAGTTCAGTAACCCATGAGCAGAGGCATGAGAATGTTAAAACAAGTCACTAAAGGTCACATAGCATTCCACTAGCTGGGCTGTGGTTAGCACTCATGACCTCCTGGGGTCTCATCTTTTCTGAATCTTATTGAATCATGCCAGCTTTCTGATATGGTCCATAAAATGCTGATAGAAATCACATGTGAAGTTCCCAACTGTGAGGACAGCAGACTTCCTTTAGAAGATAAATACTAGACCTAATCTAATACACTTTATTTGACGTAGCAGAATTTCTCCTGCATCCTTATTTCAAAAGCATACCTGCCTGTGGTCTTCCCGGGTCTTAGGAGAGTCCATATGTCTGATGGAAGCAGACAATCTAGTGCTACTCAGAGAAACCACCACTTGATCCTCAGTTTTTTTGAGGAATTTCATGTGTTTTTATGTGAAGAATCACTCTCAGGAAAGTTCTGTATTTTGGTAGCAGAGATCCTGTCAAGAAGGCAGTGAGATAGATACACATAATAAGCTGTTCATCATTACTGCTGATGGAACTCTTCCCAGGCCTGCAGCTGACAGCATTGCATGGGACCTGCAGCCCCTTTCACCGTGACTGCAGATTCTTTGGTTAAGAGACTGTCAGTGGTCAAGGCTCTGCCCCGGCTTCTCGGGATCTTCACACTCCCCTGTGCATAGTAGGCTTTGGGTTATTGGCCATCATGAAAACCAAGATTGTCGTTTAATGATCACATCTATGGACTTGGGGTCGGAGGAACCTGGATTCACATCTTGGCTCCTCCACTGACTGGTAAGTTGCTTAGATTAGTTGCTTTTTTCCTCTCTGGCTGAATTTATGCAATTGGGAGTTTTAAAAAGTATCCACTAAATTCATTGTTGTTGTTGTTAAGATTTAGTTGTGTATTGTACACTACCTGGCATGTAGTGGATGTTTGGTCAATGGTAACTATTAAAATTATTGCAGATATCCTCAGGTATTATATTTTTGACAGGAGATATCTGATAGCCTGATTCGATATTTTATGTGGAAGGAAGAATTAAATACAGAAGAACCCTAAGACAATGCTATCTGTTCTAGAGAGTGTTTCGTTAAAGTTGCAGTGTTTCATAACGAAGCAGGCAGGACGGCCCTCTGCTATGCAGAGCTCTCCCGCTCATGACAACACAACAAGCACTCCCGGTTCATCCCTACCTACTCATCCCAACAATGTTTCCAAGTTGTTTTAAGGATTCAGAATGGCCCCACTCCTTTTCAGATGTCCCTGGGAGGGTAACCCCTGCCTTGTTTGAGAATCACGAGCAAGCATAGTCTGAGTTTGACTTCTGTACCCAAGTAGCAGGGCACCACCTCCCTCTCAGTGGCTGATGGAGAGGTCTTCCACAGTGAACTTTCAGTGAAGAAGTTCATGTCTCTCTACATTATCTGTTTTACTCAGCATTCAGAGATATGTGGTGCCTCCACAGGGGCCATATCCAGGCTTTCTGATGACCCTATAGGGAGCAATGGCAATTTAATGAGGAGGGGAAAAGATCAGCTTAACCTAGCTTCTACTTCATCCGGGTTCTCATGGTTAGTTGAGAGTGCTGATCCGTGACCACCATTGAGTCATTGATCTCCCGCTCTTCCTAGTCAATCTGTCATTCAGAGATTTGCTTGATCCCTTGTGCCAGATGCATGTATTTAACAAGCTAACATGCACTAAGCATCTGCTATGTGTCAGGTACTATTAGACGCATCATACTACAATGACTAAGACACAGTCCTTGTCCTCAAAGAAATAGTAGCCCTGGGAGTAAAAATGATATAGGGGAGGCTGGGCACGGTAGTTCACGCCTGTAATCCTAGCACTTTGGGAGGCTGAGGCAGGCAGATTGCTTGAGCCCAGGAGTTTGAGACCAGCCTGGGCAACATAGTGAAACCCCGTCTCCTTTAAAAATAATCAAAATATTTTTAAAAAGTGATTTGAAGGAGTAACATCCTGTTCATGTTCAGAGGCATTCAGCCTATGAGCCCAAGGAGTTACGCTCATTTCTCTCTATGTACATCTTTTAGTCCTAATATGCGTTTCTTCATTTCTTTTATTTTTGTTACCATTATACTCTTTACACAAGGTCCTTCACCAGAGACCTGTTATCAGTGTCAGAGACCCAGCCCTGGTGGCCTTGTGCAGCAGATCAGAATAACTCAAGGAGCTCCCACATTTGCTCTCCTGACTTTCTAGAGGCACACGATATCCACATATGTTAATGTATTGGTTTTATCATAGGTTTCTCCTTGCATTTCTTTCATGTAAAAGTGTTAAGAGTTCAGTCTGATCTGAAAGCAAAAGTTTAAGTTCTCAGCATAACTATTCTTACAATCTTGTGCCTTTGCAAATATGTTAAAATGTTCTCAGCCCCCTCCAGTCCTGAACTCCCCATTTTTTTATGGTTAACGCGCTGTCACCACTACCCAGCAGACTACAAAGCAGCAGCAAGTGCAATGCAGAGAACGCGATGTAGATCTTGTTCAAAGCAGCTGACATGTTGTCATCTCAGGAAGGGCAGAATGGCAAGGAGGAGTGATTGATGGAAACTTGATGGAGCAACCTTCACTTAATTATTTTTGCATAGATTCCTGAATTGTGGCTTCTTTGCTGGAAAAAATAATAATGATCCTGTAATGCAGACTGCTTTAGAGGCTGGAATGTGTCATCGTATGTGAGGATTACCACTTGCTCTTTTAGAACCCCAAGCATCTATCTCTACCTAGAAATTTTTTATCGTGAAGACTAATAGCCTTAAGGGTGAAGGAGAGGACAGAGACCCTAACCCAGAGTAAGATAGGAATGATTAGGAATGATTGTTGGTGATAATCAGATGAACACACTGTAGCCCTGTATCAGGAGAGAAAATGTGTTTGAGATTAGCACGTTATCAGAAAAATGTTTGCACTTATCTTATTCTTTGAATAAGTTGCAAGCTATTTCTCTTCTTTCACAAAGGCAAAGTAGTAAGCCAAACCTGTAATCAGAAAAATATTGATATGTTAGATAGAGAAAGTTATTTTTGTGTGTTTGTTTCAGTTGTTGAATCAACTGGTATGTATCGAGTACCTACTGCATGTAGGGGGATTGTAGAGAACTTTCAGCGTCAAGTTAGAGATTTTAAACTTTATCCTAGAAGTAAAACGAGAAATTAAGGCACTGAGTTAGAAAGGAGCTAGACCATGATTTCTCCCATATCTCTTGTGCAAATGGCACTAGCCAAGCCAGAAGCCCCTATGCTGTTCCTCCATGTGCCCCTGCCCAGCCATTCAGCAGCCTTGGTGCTGAGTCTGCCTGGGACATCTCCCCTGTCCGCCTCCTCTTCTCCATGCTTACTGCCCCTGCAGCAGGCCAAACCTGATGACAGCTCAGTGGCATTGCAGCAAGTTCCTCCCGACTGTTTGCCTTGCCTGTAGAACCTGGTCCCTTCTCATCCATCTTCTACTCTATGACCAGAGTGACATTTTTAATCAAAAAATGTTCCTGCCTAACCCTTCTGAGATTCTCCATACCTTCAAGAGATATCTTGGGGAGAGAAGGGCACTCGTTACCTCCTTCCTCCCCTCCTGGCATGCCATACTTGTGCTTCCCTGAATGTGGCATGTCCCCTTATGTGACTCTGCATGAGCTCCCTCCTCTGTCTAGACAATGTTCCCTCTCACATCACATGCAGTCACACATTCCTGTGTACTCTTCAAAACTCAACCCTGCCATCAGCTCCAAGGAGCCCACCCTAACTTTTCCCTCCTGGTCTCACTGAGCCACTCTGTGCTTCCCACCCATGAAACTCATATGTAAGATTTTTAGTGTCTGTTCTCTTGACCATCTCTGCACACTGGATACAGATGTATTAGTCTCTTCTCACATTGCTATGAGAACTACCTGAGACTGGATAATGTGTAAAGAAAAGAGGTTTAATTGGCTCATGTTTCCACAGGCTGTACAGGAAACATGGCTGGGGAGGCCTCAGGAAACTTACAATCATGGCAGAAGGAGAAGGGGAAGCCAGCACGTCCTACGTGGCTGGAGCAGGAGGAAGGGAAAGGGGAGGTGCTACACACTTTTAAACAACCAGATCTCATGAGAACTCACTATCATGAGAACAGAGAGGGAGAAATCTAAGCCCGTGATCCAGTCATCTCCCACCAGGCCCTTCCTCCAAACACTGGGGATTACAATTTGACATGAGATTTGGGTGGGGACACAAATGCCAACCATATCAATGGAGCTCCTTGAGAACAGGAACTGTGTCTTTTAGATCTTCTGTTTTATATGTCTGATGCATAGTAGGCAGTTGGTGATCACTCATTTGGTGAATGAAGTGTTAGGCTGAACTGAAGTGGGAATGAATATGAAGAGATACCACACACCTGCATTCCTTGCTATCTGTGCCATTTGTTCCATCTCATATCTCATGGTCACACCAGTCTGAGCAAGGTCAGATACTCTTTTTAGAGAACCTTCTGTGGCCTTATTCCATGTTCAGTTGTTTAATCACGATTACCTTTATTTTTGTATTGGTCCATGTCCTGAGTATTTTTTAAAGCATTGACTGTTGTGGATCCATGGAGAAGTCAGAGAAAACAGATGAAGCTCTCTGATAGGAAAAAGGATTGAATAATCTTGCCATCCAAACTGTGGTATCAAAATATGACTATATATGTTGCAATCAGGTGCATGCGTTTCTTGGCTTTCCTGGATGTGCAAAATAGAATTCAAGACAGGGTACAGAGAGAACACATTCTACATACCCCACATAACCTTGGCATGACTGTTTGGACCTTGCTGGTAAGAAGTGGCATTGGCTAGTCTTTTGTTCACAGGCTGGCAAGGTTGCTCCTGATTTTCTCTTTACACGGATAATTCCTTTACTGACCAAATCTCATGAGAGCAAAGTGAAGTATCCTGTAGCTGGCACTACATTCATGACCTTTTCTATGACAGGTTAATCATTTCTTTGTGTGTTCACTCACTGACCTTTACTTCATTGGCCAAAGGAGTGCCCCATGTCAAAGTAATGTCCTCGTTCCTCCATTCCATCATCCCTTTGGGGCAGAAAAGATGCTGTCTTACCCGTTTTTGTCCCCAGACTAGCTGGGTGCCTGGTGTGTAGATGTTAAATGAATAAATTGTTTAGGCAAAGCCGTTAGTAGCATGATCTAATGACCACAAACAGAAAAGTGTGTGTGGTGGGGAAGGGCAACTTATATTTTAAGAATTGTGTTTTAATAAGTGGTGAATTATTTCAGTATAAATCCAGTATTATCATTAATAATAGATAAATATATTGAGCATTTACCATAAGCACCATATTCTATCGCCTCTCCCATTACGTGAAAGACTAAGTTTTATAGTTTGAAAAGAAGGAAAATAGGAAATATATAACTACATTTAATATTATAGCATAAAGGGCTCAAGTGGAATGATGCTGGTATGACAGAGTATTCCCAACAGTCCTCCCAGTTCTTTTTACATTAATATAAAATGTTCCATGAATTAAAGAAAAATATAGCAAGTCATAAACATTTACAATTCTCTTTCCTCACCATCTAAGGAGGACAAGTTCTGTGCTTATTTAGCTTGCTATTCCTTGTGAGGTCAGAAAGGTCAATGATTAAACTTAGATTAGGCCAAATTCCTCCTTAAGAGAAGATATGGTGCGGGGTAGGGAGTGGGGAACATAAGAACAGCCATTATAGGGACCTGTAAGAGAGGAGGGCGAGATGGGAGGAAGAGCAATCGTCCTGGGAAAAGGGAACTTGGGACAGAGAGGAGTAACAAGGCTTTCAGGGAGTCTTTCTGAGCATGGTGCCATGCTCCCTACTCCCCACTTCCACCCTCCCCACTCCCCCCCTCCCATTCACCTCTGCCATCCAGGCCTTCCCAGGAACACTTGGCCAAGACTTGCAAGTTTATTTATTTTTTTTTTAGCTCATCAGCTGTCATTAGTGATAGTGTCTTTTATGTGCAGCCCAAGACAATTTTTCTCCTTCCAGTGTGGCCCAGGGAAGCCAAAAGATTGGACACCCCTGCTCTAGATGTGAGTCTTGGATGACCACCCTTCACTCTACCTAGGCTACAGTAACAGACGTTGAAAGTCAGCATCTTCATTGTTATGGAGGAATGGAAATGGGATAAACTATTTTAAAACAATTTTGGATTTAAAAAAATAGTTTAAATATTCCTGTTCTCTCACCCCACCCACCCCTAACTTCTTTGCATTATTAATTTTCTTAGCTAATCTTATTTCTAAAAAAGCAAAACCTTCCAAGGGAATTCTTTTTCTTTTCTTTAGGGAGAGAGTCTCACTCTTGTCACCCAGGCTGGAGAGCACTGGCACGATCATAGCTCACTGCATCCTCAAACTTCTGGGCCCAAGTGATGCTTCCACCTCAGCCTCCCAAGTTGCTGGGACTATAAGTGCACACCACCGTACCTGGGTATTTTTTTTTTTTTTTGAGATGGAATCTCGCTCTGTTGCCCAGGCTGGAGTGCAGTAGTGTGATCCCAGCTCACTGCAAGCTCCGCCTCCCAGGTTCACACCATTCTCCTGCCTGGCTATTTTTTTAAGCTTCTTGTATAGATGGGGTCTTGCTATGTTGCCCAGGCTGGTCTTAAACTCCTGGCCTCAAGGGATCCTCCTGCCTTGGCCTCCCAAAGTGCTGAGATTAGAGCCATAAGCCACCAGGCCTGGCCCAAATGAATTATTAATTTGTTTTGGGTAGAATTACTAATAGCCAATTACTAGTTAGTGGAACTTCAATTTGGGATGTTTTTATCTATTTGAATAAACTTTCATTCTGTATAACTCCATGTCTAAATCTATAAATGTAGACATACATCAGTATAGAAACGTCAGTGGCTCTTAGATTGGGTACTTTAATAATAACTCTCCATGACTGACCACTGGGGACTTCTCAAGGAGCAGGAGAAGTATCTACCAAACGTAGATACCTGAGAAATAGTGGAGTCTGCTGTAATGTTCACTGTGGATAACCTGACTGGCAGAGTTGTCCCTTCTGGAAGAGAGGCAGCTCAGGTCACTGTGTAAGGCACCTGTCTTAACTTGCAATGGGAATTTTGCAGTCAGGTGAGGGGCACAATATATGTGAAGAGGAAGTGAATGTTGTTGATAGCATCACATCATAATTAAATTCCAGCCACTGGATGATGAAGTCATTCCTTCACACACAAACGGCATTATATGCCTGTAATATTTTTCCAGGGCTGCCATTACAAAGTGCCAGAAACTGGGTGACTTAACAGACATTGAGTGTCTCACAGCTGGGGGGCCTGGAAGTCAGAGATCAAGGTGTGGGCAGGGCCATGCTCCCTGTGAAGATGCTCGGGAAGGATCTGTTCCAGGTCACTCCCTAGCTTCTGGTGGCTCCTTAGCATGTGGCTCTGTCACTCCAGTCCTCACAGAGCACTCTGCCTGTGTGCCTGAGTCCACATTTCCCCCTTTTTTTTTCATGATGGAGTCTTGCTCTGTCACCCAGGCTGGGGTGCAGTGGTGCGATCTCACTTACTGCAACCTCTGCCTCCCAGGTTCAAGAGATTCTCCTCCCTCATTCTCCCGAGTAGCTGGAATTATAGGCGCCCGCCACCACGCCAGGCTAATTTTTGTAATAGTAGAGACAGGGTTTCACCATGTTGGCTAGACTGGTCTCGAACTCCTGACCTCATGATCCGCCTGCCTCGACCTCCCAAAGTGCTGGGATTACAGGCGTGAGCCACCGCGCCCAGCCCACATTTCCCCTTTTCACAAGGACACCAGTTCTGTCAGATTAGGAACCCCTCTCCTCCAGGATGACCTCATCTTAACTAATTATATCTGCAACAACCCTATTTCCAAGTAAGTTCACATTCAGAGGTATTAGGGGTCAGGATGTCAATATATAAATTTGGAGGGACAGAATTCAGCCCATAACAATGCCTGCCAGTGGTAGTTTTTTGGGGGTCAGGGTGAGTCTAGTATCTGCATTTTCAACAGCATGCCTTTTTGGGGAGATGAGTGTCAAGCATTCACTGATTTGAGGTAACGGGGCCCTCTTGAGTCTGTGATGTAATCTCACACTCCCCTAAGAGCTATTTATGGCCTACAAGCCTGTGCACATTTGAATGCGCGTGTGCAGAAAAGACAATGAGCCAGACAGGCTTCTACACCCACTTAAGAGCACTCACATGGATCAGTCACCCACCCTGAATGCCACGTTAGTTTTGACATCTGAAATGTGTCTGGCATTTTCAGGCAGAGAAGGCTTTTAAAAAAAAAAAAAAGTCACATGGATGCCAGTTCCTTACTATCTCCCTAAAAGAGCCTAAACACAGAAATCCAGACACAGGAACTCACAAGAATATTAGATAATAAATAGCCAAGCTTCTGAAGAGGCCTGGAACCAGAGAATGATATTTAAGGGTTATTAAGCTTAATTTTTTGCACTGTGGTCTGCCTGGCATATAGTAGACACTCACTGAAAGTTTGTGAACAGATGACTAGGAGAGTCTCTGTTCCGTGGGTATGAATCTTAAAGATGCATGTATTCAGCCCCTTCTCCTGGCTTCTGTTCTAAGCAGAGGGAATCTGATGCCTTGTTTCTGCGCATCTGTGATCTGGGCAGATTACAGATGTCACAAGCCAGTGATGTACACCTGGATTGCATCCTGACCAAAATCAGGGAAGTACCCGCTGGCATGTTGAGGACCTCCTTTGAAGAAAATCCTGTGGCTAAACCAATTCATTGCCCTTGGGAGAGAAACATTCTATAGCCTGCTGGGTGGATGTGTACAGTCCATGTGGACCCACCTAAGTTTCCTATTTTGTTCCTTCTTTCTTGTTTTCCTTTCCTTCCTCTTTTCTTACTTTTTAAGCCACTTATTGAGTTTATCCTTTCAAAACTCATCTTGAGGATATGTTCAAAAATGACCCATCTAGAGCTTCCTGTACACTTCTTTGCAGAGTGAGTTGCTGCTGACTTATTTCTCCTTCCAGCGTCTTGCTGATGCCTCTGTAGAGTCATTTATTACCTGCGTAAGAGTGACCTCTACACGTGCCTGGTTCCCAACAAGACATGGAGTCTCAACTGAATTTTACTCATCTCTGTTTCCCTAATACCTAGTGCAGTACCTGGTTAGCACTTCCTGGATGTTCAGTGTATGGTTATTGAATGAATGAATGAATAAGCTGTTACTTTCTGCTTGCATAGCACTGTTCTAGAGTGTCATGGAGGACACAAAGGAATAGAATTGATAGTAGGTCATTCTTCAGTTGCGTTGCATCACAAGGGTAAAACGTGTACTTATTCAAAATAAGTGGCATAATAATAACTTCTTAAAATTTTTATTTTATTTTTCCGTAAGTTATTGGGATACAGGTGGTATTTGGTTACATAAGTTCTTTAGTGGCGATTTGTGAGATTTTGGTGCACCCATCACCTGAGCAGTATACACTGCACCATATTTGCAGTCTTTTATCCCTCTCCCCACTCCCACTCTTCCCCCTAAGTGCCCAAAGTCCGCTGTATCATTCTTATGCCTTTGCATCCTCATAGCTTAGCTCTCACATATCAGTGAGAACATATGATGTTTGGTTTTCCATTCTTGAGTTACTTCACTTAGAATAATAGTCTCCAATCTCATCCAGGTCACTGCAAATGCTGTTAATTCATTCCTTTTTATGGCTGAGTAGTATTCCATCATATATATGTACCACAGTTCCTTTATCCACTCAATTGATGGGCATTTGGGTTGGTTCCATGATTTTGCAATTGTGAATTGTGCTGCTATAAACATGCGTGTGCAAGTATCTTTTTCGAATAATGACTTATTTTCCTCTGGGTAGATACCCAGTAGTGGGCTTGCTGAATCGGCATCATAATAACTTAATAAGTCAAGAGGAGGTCTGGGCACTGTGCTCATGCCTATACTCCCAGCATTTTGGGAAGCTGAGGTGGGAGGACTGCTTGAACCCAGGAGTTTGAGACCAGCCTGGGAAATATAGTGAGACTTTGTCTTTACAAAAAAGTTAAAAAATTAGCCAGGGGTGGTGGTGTGCACCTGTAGTCCCAGCTACTCAGGAGGCTGAGGTGGGAGGATATTTCAGCCAGGGCAGTCAAGGCTGCGGTGAGCCGTGATTGCACCACTGCACTCCAGCCTCGGTGACAGAGTGAGACCCTGTCTCTAAATAAATAAATAAATAAATAAATAAATAAATAAATAAAGTCAAGAGAGGGGCCCAGTGGTGTAATGGAAGAGCACTGTTCATAGAATCTGTAGATTTGTTTTCTAGTCCTGGCTCCACAAGTTACATATTCTGTGCTCCTGGGAACTTCCCTTAACCTACATGAGCCTGAGTTTACTGATCTAAAAAGTGGGCCTAACGCCTATCTGAAAGAATTACTGGGGATATTAAGGGTATAATGTATATTATAAAGTGCTTGGTAAGTCATAGCATGGTATCTAAATCTAAGGTATGTTGCTTTTATGACACAAGGCAGTATCTGAGTTAGGACAGACCAGGGGAGTGGTACAATCAGTTAATGTTCTGAGTTGCTGGGTAGGAGTTAGCAAGTAAGGCACGTGCAAGAATTAGAACTTGGCCAGAGCTTTGAAGAATAAGGCCACCTGGCATAGACAAAGGGAAGCAGTGTGGCCTGAGTACCTGCACACAGGTTGTGGTGGGCCAGGAGGATATGAACGAGCCCCATGGCTGCCATAGAGGGCTGGTGGTGCCCGAGATGGCCCTCCTTGCCATGAAGTAGGCAGAAGGCGCTTAGAGCTCTAGTTTCCCAAATGGAGCTCAATTGCTTGTCATATTACATACACGTGCTGTTATGTGTGATGATGCTCTGTTCTAACCCTGAAAGACCTGGTGGAGCCTTAGCAAATCACTGGCCATTCTCCCAAACACTGCGTGTGCTTATGCTATGCCGCCATAGTTTTACAAGCATTTTTCAGCGTTTATGCAAATGCTGCCCTTCTGTCTTTGGTAACTGCTTTGCTCATCTTTCAGGATTCAGCTTACATCTTGTCTTCTCTGTGCCACATTCCTGTCAGCAGCCACCTCACACCACCCGCTCCTGTGCACACAGGCGTACAGAGATAGTCTTGTTCCTCTCTGCTCTTAGAGCACCATTCAGCTACCCCCAGTGGAGCACTAATCCCAGTGAGCTGTGATGGTTTCTTGGTGTCTGTCTCCCCGCGAGACCATGGGCTCTTGGTGAACAGCGGCTGTAGCCTGTTCAGCTCTGACCCTCCGGACCCTCATATAACCTGTATGACCCATGAAGGTGCACAGCAATGGGAAGGATGAGGGAAGAAGAAGGATCTTTTCAAACTCTGTACATTCTTCACACAGAAAAGCAGGCTCATATCAGCTGACTTGTTCTCCCAGGCAGAGAACAAGAGTGTGCCACATTCACTCCAGTTGAATGGTTTCAAACTTTTCTTCCTTTGAGGTGGATGTATTTTTGGCTTTTGGCAGTGTCTTAGTCCATTTGGACTGCTAAGCAAAATACCGTAAACTTATAAACAACAGAAATACATTTCTCACAGTGCTGGTGGCTGGGAAGTCCAAGATCAAGGTGCCAGCAGCTTCAGGATTTGGTGAGGTTTGATTTTTTTGGTTCATAGATGACACCTTCTTGGTGTGTCCTCACATGGTGGAAGGAGCAAGGTCGCTCTCTGGGGTCCCTTATAGATGGGCACTAATCCCATATATGAGGGATACTGAAAGTAAATTGATGGAAGTGCTCGTGTGAATGAATGAATGAATGAAACCATTTTGAAGCTAGATTGCTAGGTTCCTGCAGGTTATATCTTTGTATACTCCTTACCTTTCAAGAATGTCTGCAGCTCTCTGCATACAATAACTTCCTTGAGTATATATAACTACAGTATGACAAGGCTTTTAAATTGAACAATTCTAAAGACTGTTTTTTTGAGTCCAAAAAGTAGAATTTGGTATCAACATTAGGTTTAAAAGAAGTGATTTCAGAGTTTGTCAACTATTCAAGTGTCAGAAAAAAATAATGTAAATGATGTGCTTAAGACATTTATTTTTGTATTCTCGATTCTCCTGAAATAAAGGGAAATTGTCTTGAAAAGCTGTAGATTTTAAATGAAAAGGAAAGCGGGAAGGTGACATAATTTGCCTCTGCCTTTGCAGAAATTCAAGTGTATATGGCCTCTCTCCAATCCACCATTTTCCCACCTCCACAGGCCCCATGTCAGCTGTTTCCTTCATATCATTGCAATGCTTTGAGGGTGATTGTTGGTTTAAGCTACAGTCCCTTCAAATTTGTGAAAGACTAAACAGATTGATAACAACTCCACCTAGATTAAATGAAATTCTGTGGGTAGACAGGCTAGTCAAAATACAATCCCCACACACCCCAAGTGAGCATTGCTTCTCCTTTCAGATATGCTGTGGGTACAAAGAAAGGATTTAGTCCAAAGTGCCTTGGGGTTTTGTTCAGTCCAGAGTGTAATTTTTTTCTCTCTTTTGCCTATAGCCATTTCTGTAACATTACTGAAAGGGCTTTTTTCCTAATGAAGCATGAAAATTGATCGTATCTTGCCAGGAGAGTTCTTCCTAAGTCTTAAGATATTAAAGATTTCATGAGAACCGCATGAAGAATATCTTCTTGAATCATTTACATTTTTCCCTTTTGTAGGCTTATGTAACCATGCAGAAAATCTAATAATAAGTGTGCTATTAGTGTACCATGTGCCATCCCGCAGGCAGCTGTGCCATGGGGCACCAGTGCCCAGGGCTTGTGGATAGCATTAACCTGTACAACTTTCTAAAGTAAAGCCCAGTGGGAAATCTGTAGGTAATTGAACAGATAGTCCATTTTTATCAGACTTCCCCCTGCCCCTTCCCTGTTCTGTCTTTTCTCTTTTCTTGTGCCAGAAGGAAACACCTTGGCCATAGGCCTTTCATTCACAATGGAGTATATTTTCCAAAGCAAATAGCTTGGACTATTTCAATTCCCAGAGCAATCTAGGTGGGCACACAGAGCTAAATTTGGGTTTGAAAGAACTCTTAAATTAGTATCATAGGAAGGCAATGAGCAGGAAAAAAAAAAATAAAGATACAAGCATTGTGGTCTGATGGAAATTATCCAGCACTCACTTACAAATGACAAGTGGGTACCACCCAGCCTTTCTCATGTTCCAAAATTTAATAAAGGGTTCCATCTAGGTCCCCCAGAAACTACTGTGATTATCAGGGTGAGAGAAGGGGGAATGATGAATTTTTGTAATGCCCCAATCTTTGTAACCAGGCATAGAAGGACATTCGCTGGGCTCAGGATGGGTGTTAGCATGTAGTGGATAAAGGAATTGCAGAGTTGTTGACAGCTGTTTCCTCAGAGACACTTGTCCTGATGATATTTGCTTTGGATTCTAAGTAACAGAGCTGTAGTTCTTAAAGTTTAAATTGAAAAAAAGGAGTTTTCTGTCAAGTGGCTTAGTCATGGAAATCAGTGAAGTTAAGCTTGGGCAATAATATATCCTTTTCAAATCCAGGTGCCTTCCTGATCATGCCAGAGCTTTTGTGACTCCTTTCTCCTTGGTGTTCTTCTTTTGATGCGGCGATAGGGTCTGAACACGTCCAGGCTGTCTTTGCTGGGAGAGGGCAGAATGCCTCGGCTTTCTTCAGCCTTGCCTTTCTTCATTGTCTTCACCCTGCAGCACTTCTGCAAAGCTGCTGGGGTAGGTGGGTGAGTGGGCGTCTTTTCTTTGCTAGCCCAAGCTGAGTTCTGAAGGGAAGTTAGCAGGGCTCAGCTGCTGCCGCAAAGTCAGTCAGACCAATTCTCATTTGCATGCCTACAGAATTAGACATATTCAGGGGCTCGGGTTAATGCCATACCCTCCTCTTGTCCTTGGAAAACTGTAAGAATGCGTGCAGGTAACTCTGCAGCAATTCTGTGTTGCTCAGATGTATTTCTCTTCTTTCAGAATTCCTCCTTCTATAGCATTCCCCTAATATTTATGTGCTGGGGCTTTCTTCTTTCATCCCAGGCCCCAGCTTCGCTCTATATCAGACAGAGGTGGGAGCTGCTGATCAAGGGGGCACACTTGCCATCCAAACCTCACGATGCTCACAGGTGTCCTTTCAACCCTGCTAACCCAGATGATACATCACCATTTATACCTTTGGAGGCATTTTCTCTTTAATTGATGCTCACTTAGACCTAAGATTGTTCATTAAAGTCCAGAGGTGCTCATTAAAATGAACATTGGATAGTGTGGTAGATGCAGGTTATCATTATGAATCCAAGAAAGGGCTCTGTGGAACTTGTTATATACGGCATTTATAGGTTGTTAAATTAAAGGATTAGTGTTGTGCTAAACCATTTTCAGGTTAATCAGTTGTGGGAAACCAGATCTAATGTTAAAGCAGGCTTAAACTATGGTTTTTATAGTAGGGAAGTTTTTAAGCTACTGTTATTTCTAATAAACCCTCTAGCTTGCTAATCGAGCATACTTTTCAATTTTTGCACTTAACTGAATATGGTCTTGTTCCCTAATTTTTTTATGTGTGGGCTTTATTTCTTCAAGCTGGATTGTAAGTTCCTTTTTAGCAGGGTCTATGTCTTTTTTTTTTTTTTTTTTGCTCATATCCTAAAAGCTTCTGGTATAATTCGAGGTATATAGCAGATGCTAAGGATTTTATTGAGTGATTACTACATTTTTAGAGTGTCATTACAATGTATTATCACCTGGTTTATGCCGTGGTGCTTTATGTAACATGTGCCTATTTACAGAACATTGATATAACATGTTGGTCTGCAACCAGGTTGTTATCAGCAATAGGAAAAGCATTACAGAGTTCATATGGAAGTAGAGGAGAAACAGGTCTAATTTGGGTGTGATGCCCTGTATTAGTCTGTTTTCATGCTGCTAATAAAGACATACCCAAGCCTAGGTAATTTATAAAGAAAAAGAGGTTTAATGGACTCACAGTTCCACGTGGCTGGGGAGGCTTCACAATCATGGTGGAAGGCAAAAGGCATGTCTTACATGGCAGCAGGCAAGAGAAAATGAGAGGCAATCAAAAGGGGAAACCTCTTATAAAACAATCAGATCTCGTGAGACTTATTCACTACCACGAGAACAGTATGGGGGAAACTGCCCCCATTATTCAGTTGTCTCCCAGCAGGTCCCTCCTACAATATGTGGGAATTGTGGGAGCTACGATTCAGGATGACACTTGGGTGGGGACACAGCCAAACTATATCATGCCCTAACCTGATCAGATATGGCTTCCAGACTGGCCCCTGGAGTGGCCTGAATACCTTCACCAAGACACGTGTGTGGGACAGATCAAAAGTTTCCATCTGCCATTTGTCTTTCACTTGGTAACTGCTAATGATTGCTTGTTAACCATACACATTAATATGCCCGTGAAGCAGATAGAAAATAAAATAAGTAAAAAATTGTATAAGTGGAAAAACTAAGACCCAAACAAGAAATTATGGATCATTTCTAAATGGTGGCCAGGACGTTTATACGGAGAAACCATACCATTGAACCATAATCAATGTAAGAATACAACTGATGGTTTCAGACTTTCAGGAATAGAATGAGTCTCAGGCAGACATGTTCTCAGGCAACATGGCCTGGGACATCCCCAGAAACCTCCTCCATGGAGTTAACAGGACACCTACATGGCCCTATGTGTCCCTCCACTTGGGCCTCTTGTTCAACCTCGTATCACATGTCCCCTTCCTACCACATAAACTTCTGTCTCTACATTCTCTACTCTACCACAGGTTCATTTATTTGTTTGTTTGTTTGTTTGTTTGTTTGTTTGTTTATTTATTTATTTATTTATTTTGATACAGTGTCTCACTTTGCTGTCCAGCTGGAGTGCAGTGTGCAATCACAGCTCCCTATAGCCTCTGTCTCCCAGGCTCAAGTGATCCTCCTGCCTCAGCCTCCCTAGTAGCAAGGACTATAGACATGTGCCACCACGCCCAGCTAATTTTTACCTTTTTTTTGTAGAGATGAGTTCTCACTGGGTTGCCCAGGCTGGTCTCAAACTCCTGGGCTCAAGTGATCCTTCTGCCTCAGACTCCCAAAGAGCTTGGATTACAGACATGAGCCACTGTGCCCAGCCCACAGTCATGTTTTAAAGTGTCTGAGCTATAAATACTACTATAAAGGTGTCAACTGGTTGTATATGTGGGCCCTTGGCATTTCAGAAATGACAGTTATTGCCAACCATTACCAAATGGAATCCATTTTATCCAAATGGGCATGGTTGGGGCTGAGCATGGGATGGAGTAATGCAGTCTTATTGCATTTCAGTGTTAGAGGGCTTTCACTCGGTTTGCAGTTTCTCCACAGCTCACCCACCAATTCTACCTGTGTACTTCTTTTCTGTTCCCTCTCAACTTCTTTTCCATTCTCTCCTTCCTCTTGTTTCTGTCCATATCTCTGGCTTCTTTTAATTTCCCTTTTCCCTTCTTTCTTATTGGTCTGGCCCTGGGTCTGGTGAGACCAAGGGCACAGAAGGATACTGGCTCCATGCCAACCTTTCCTCCAAGGCACAATCTCCTTCTTGGCATTTACTGAGATGTTCAACTTCCTGTGTTTCTAATATTCCTTCCTGTTTTATAAAAGAAAAATAGATTGGATTTGCAAAGTGCCTTAATTTGTTGATTTTCTAAAAAGCAATTTTAAAAATGTGTATCAACAATATCACATACATGTAACTGATTTATTGACTCTGGCTTGCCCTGGGTTTAATCACACATAAAGAAATTTTACAATAACACATGATCCAGTAGAGAAAGAAGTCAAAGAAATATGTAAAGTCCTGTGACCTCTGTAGACATTTGGGATTAAACCAAATTAAAACACCTGTATGGGCTGGGCATGGTGGCTCATGCCTGTAATTCCAGCACTTTGGGAGGCTAAGGCAGGAGGATCACTTGAGCCCAGGATTTTGAGACCAGCCTAGGTACCATAGCAAGACCCAATCTCTACTGAAAAAAATAAAAATAAAAATAAAAATAAAAATAAAAATAAATAACCAGGCATAGTGGCATGCCTGTAGTCCCAGCTACTCAGGAAGCTGAGATGGGAGGATCACTTGAGCCAGCAGTTTGAGACTGCAGTGAGCTATGATTGCACCACTGCACTCTAGATGCAACAGAGCAAGACCCTGTCTCGGCTCAAAAAAAAGAAAACACTTGTATCAATTCAGGTCAAATATTGGTTTCTTTTTTTTAAGAGCAGATTAACATCTTGCATATCTTTTGCTATCACATTTCTTCTTATCTGACCAGCTGAAATGGAACTAGTGTTAAATACAAATAATAAAACCTGTAAAGATCCTAAGTTTTTGCATGGTACAATAAATCCTCACTCATTCACATGCTTGGAGAAAGTCCAGTCTGATTCAATTAATGAAAAGCAAAAAAAAAAAAAAATTGTAACTACATAATTTTTATCTCATGTATTAGCTCCTATTTAGTTCACATAAGTGTTCAAATAGGTACTCATTTTTAATTAACAAAATATTTGTGTGTAGTGAGTATTTTTAAACCAATTAAAACAGTTCCTTCTTGTAAGTAAATTAAGTGCTATTCTTAGACGATGGTATGCATCATTCATTTGCTTTGCAAACCATTCTTTCACACCATTCTAGTTGGTGTGAAAGCAAATTGAGCCCATCTCTACTGGAATTTATTGCATTCTCTTAATTTCTGACACTCTATGCTCCCAATAGTAGGGACTCCATCTTAGCCACCACGACATCCCAGGCATGGCTCCTAGAATAATTTCAGCTCTTTAAGACTCAATTAATATTTGCTCACTGATTAATATTTAGCTCCATTAATTTATGTGTCCAAATTCCTTACCATTTGCCAAGTGCTTTTGGATTTTACAGTTAGTTACAAACTGTAGTTTAAGGTTTTTCTGGCTTTACTTCATTCTTCCTTTAACTAGCTTTAAAAAACTAGTTTATAATTCTAGTTACAATACAATGTTAAGTGAAAGAACTGATTCAAAATTATATATTCAGAATTATTCTAACTTTGTAAACATGCATAGATATATGTGAGCTTTAAAAAAGAAAATTATATATATATGCCAAAATACAATCAAAATGTAAATAGTGGATATATCATGTTGGAGATATTAGGAGCAGTTTTATATTTTTTAAGTTTTCTGTGTTTCCACATATGATCACACTTTATTTTTATATCAGAAAAAAGCTATCTTAGTTGTGCATTGTACATTAGAAATATTAGTTTTGAAGATAACCTAAACACAAGTTTTTATTTCTTCTGTCACAGTTGCCTCTTTTCTTAAAATCGTGTTTGCCAGTTTCTTTCACGACACTGCAAACAATTTTAGTAGCTTCAGTTCTTTGATAAATCTGTAGCTTTTAGATCTTTGATTACTATTAGCAAAGAAAAGATAGACCCAAATGAAAAACAGTTGCATTTTTGAAATATGTCCGGCGGGGGTTGATGTGGAAAGAACAATTCCTCTCAACTCCAGGGTCAAAGCAGCAGCCCTGCCAGGCTCTGTCGGGGTCGCCTGGAGAACATCACTTAACTTTCTACATCAGTTCCTGCTTCTGGACATTATAACATTCATGATATCCACCTCATGCAGGATTCCTGGGAGGAGCAGATCAGATCATAATGTGTGTGAAGGGGCTTTGAACGACAGTCACCACATTATTACCACCATAAGCATTATTTCCATTTCAAAAATGGTAGAGGAGGGAAGATGCAGATGTTCTCTTTATGTTGGCTCGGCACCAGGCACGTCCAGGTTGTGCTGCTTTACCCTCCAGCATGAAGAGTTAGAAGGTAAATATCGATATTGCTTTTCATAACTAATAGCTTCATAGTTCATGTCAGGTGATTTCTTGGCTTCCGTTAGCATTTCAGAGACCATTATACACAGCAGCCATCCTCTGCAGAGCTGGAGAAAACTCATTTTTCAAGGCAAATAGTCCCAAGTCAGGGTTCAGTCCTGGTGGAATGAAATAAAGAAGGAGAGTTTATCTTTAAGGTAAGCTAGCATTTAAGTAGATGTTGGATATTATCAGAGATGCTTATGAGGGGCAGAGAGCATTGAAGACTTATACCCTTTGCACATCTTTAAATGCCTGTAAGTGCTTACCAGGAGCCAAGAGCGAACGGGTGGCTGCGTGCAAATGCTAGAGGTTAACCCCTGTCCATGGGCATTTACCGCATGAGTAAAAATTTATTGCAGAGTTCAGGACTGTGATTCTGCTGCTCATTTCTGTAGCGTATTTCTTTATCTGAAAGGATGCCCATTGTCCTTTCTAGCTTTTTGGGCCATAACCGTGAGGGAAGGCCCAAAGGAAGAACCTCTGTTGGAGATCAGGTTTATTCATCCATGTGGGTGGAGGTACGAAGGAGGGAAGAACCTCTGTTGGATATCGGGTTTCTTTGTCTGTGTGGGTTGGAGACTAGTAGAATAGGGGAAACCACATACTGCCCATTCCTCCAGGATCATTTTCCATTTGGATATTTAGAAAGCAACAAGAGAGGAGTTTTAGAAGACAAGGTAGATGATTTCAAGTTACTTTAACATAGAGGAAGAAAGTTTCCTTCTATTTTTAATGGCTAGTGCATGATTTGTGGGAGTGAAGATTGGGAGGGGGCACGGACGAACACCAGGAAGAGGCGGTTAATTTATTGGTCCCCATTAATTGAATTTAATAAGTGAGTTTTGTCAGTTTAGCAATATCCATTAGTTTCAGAGAGTGTTTCAGTATTATTCTGTAAAAGCATCCAGGGATATATTTTACAGCTACAGCATAGATTATCTTGCACACATATTGAAGTAAAGATACCTTTCAACATTCCAGATACTGACTTTTCACCCAAATTTGAAAATCTCCATTTAGCACTTTCTAAAATACCAGTGAAAATTAATATAGTTTTGTAGATTTATGTACTAAGATGCAGATTAAGACATGTGGAATCTAATGAACATAGCAGGAAAAGAAAATTTTCTCAAGTCTGTTCATTACTATTCCTCATCACATTTTTTATTATTTAATAGCTTATTCCTTGAATATGTGTGACTTGGGATTAGATGTGCCAGTTGGAAGACCTCAGAGGTTCAGAAATTCACAGACATGTGAAATATAAAACCGTATTCATTTAGCAGATACTGATAGGCATATAAAATAGAACCTTCATCATCTATCTTTAGAAAAAGAAGATTAAACAGAAGTGTAATTAATTTGCCAACTCTGCTTCCCGATTGAGACATTTATCAAAGTTGATCTTTAATCATTAGTTTCCTAATCTGTAAAATGAAGTCTATTATGACCTCTAAGGTCTATTTGTAACAGTTAGGATTAGGTTCAGTTCCATATCACCAAAAAAAAAAAAAAAAAAAAAAAAGAAGAAGAAGTCAAGCCAAAGAAATAGACATTTATTTTTCTCTCACATAAAAGTGGTTTTGAGAGGTAAGCAGTCCAGGGTGATTATGGTCACTGCACAGGCTCAGAAACATTGTCACCTTTCTATTCTGCCATGCTGTAGTATATTTCTTTTCTTTTCTTTCTTTTTTTTTTTGAGACAGATTCTTGCTCTGTCTCCCAGGCTGGAGTGCAGTGGCATGATTTCAGCTCACTGCAACCTCTTCCTCTTGGGTTCGAGCAATTGTCCTGCCTCAGGCTCCCGAGTAACTGGGACTACAGGTGCGCACCAACATGTCTGGCTAATTTTTATGTATTTTTTAGTAGAGACAGGGTTTCACATGTTGGCCAAGCTGGTCTCGAACTCCTGACCTCAAGTGATGCACCCGCCTCAGCCTATGTCTCACATACAAGATGGCTGCATAGCTCTAGCCTTTAACATTACCATTCCAGAAAGCAGAAAGGAGGAAGAGACGAAGGACCTACCCCCTTTCCAAAGACACTTGCCAGAGGAACCATACCACATTTTTGTTTACTTCATGTCAACAAGAATTTAGTCTAGGCATACCTAGCTGCAAGGCTAGGCATACCTTCTTGCAAGTCTAGGCATACCTTCTTGCAAGGCAAGAAGAAGATCAGGTCATTCAGTTGGGCAGCAATGTGTCTACCTCAAAACCAAGGTTTCTACTTCTAAGGAAAAGAAGGAAAGTGGGATATTGGGGTAAGCAACAATTATCCACAGGTTTTGAGCTCAAAAAGCCGTGATCGCATGTTTCTGGGAAAATTTGACCTATACAATCGAGTCTGAATGTGTGCTGGGTGTGTACAAATCAGACAACTTCAACTGTGAGCCTTCATTAGCTCTCCCCTTTATCTAGACTTAGGATTGTATTTCCAGGCATAGGTCAGAATCTTTACACTGATTGTGTGTGTGTCTGTATGTGTGTGTGTGTGTGTGTGTGTGAGAGAGAGAGAGAGAGAGAGAGAGAGAGAAACAGAATCTTGGCTGCAAGATGTGCTGAATATAAACACAATAACTTAGCAATTTATAACTGCCCCTTTCCCATCTCTGCCCCCTCCCCAGTATCAGCATACGCAGTGTTACCCCCACACTATCAATATGTCAATGATTAATAGCAACTGGCAAATGTGTGCTTTCCATGAGACTTGTATGCAAGGTTACTCGGGTTCACAGAGGCTGCTAATAACAGCAGCACTATTGAATTATGCTATGTGTCTGTGTCTGTTAAGACAGGTCGGAGGACAGGGGAGGAAACTTCCCCCAGGGTAATTGAGAGACAAAGTCACTAAAAGCTACAGATCTCCAGTTTGGGCTCTATGCATGAGATTGTTCTTAAAAGTCAAAGAAATATAAAAGGAAATTGCACATTTGTAATTTTTTTAAGTTCCCCATTTCATAGCTCATTAAAACCAGGACTTTAATATTCTGGGTCAGAACCCCCATTGGATATTTTTGTGAACATGTAACATGTGGGTTGATTAGAGGTTTGGGCCTGTTTTTTTCTTTTTCTTTTTTTTTTTTTTTCAGACAGAGTCTCACTCTGTCACCCAGGCTGGAGTGTAGTGGTGTAGTCTCGGCTCACTGCAACCTCCACCTCCCGGGTTCAAGTGATTCTCCTGTCTCAGCCTCCCGAGTAGCTGGGATTACAGGTGCCCGCCATCATGCCCGGCTAATTTTTGTATTTTTAATAGAGAAGGGGTTTCAATATGTTGGCTAGTCTGGTCTCCAACACCTGACCTCAAGTGATCCACCTGCCTCGGCCTCCCAAAGTGCTGGGATTACAGGCATGAGCCACCGTGCCCAGCCTGGCCTATTTTATTTCATGCATATATAGTTTAAGTGTCTCTGAGATTCTTGATCAACTAACAAAATCCAAGAGGCCCTTTTGTTATATTCTAAATTCATTCCTGCTTCTGATTGTTGCAAAGGGGTCAGCGGATAGGGTGCCAGAGCCAGAAGTTAGCTAGGTGGCAGGTTCTGAATTAATGTGGTATTCTGGGTAATATAATGTCATTTCCTAGGGAACTGCCAGCATCTAGCTGACCTCCAAGAGGACAAGTGGTCAGGAAGGTGGAGATAGTATTAGAACTGTTATTATTGTTGTTGTTTTTAACAAGCAGACCTGTCATGAAACTTGCCATAGAGGTCCCCTTTTCCATATATCACCAAAGCCTCATAGGTAAGAAAAGGTAAACATCCAAGATTGTTTCTTTAAAGATTGCTGTTGGGCAGACCAAGATTTAGCCACAAAAATAAACATAATCTCTGATGCTGAGAAGAGATCAGAATGAGTTGAAACACAGGGGAAAAAAGAAGTAAGCAGAAAAAAATTTTACAATAGTAGATATGGGGATTAGATAGATAGACGGCTATATAGATATATAGGACTCTGAATAGACCCATTACAGGCAGGCATGTAAGTGGAAATGATTAATATATAGATGTAGACACAGGTAATTCTATATAAATGTGGAAGAGCAGCAGGAAGTTTCTACAGCTGGGAAGGAAAAGGTAATTTTTTAAAAATGAGGTCATTACAGGTTGTTTGGGTCCAGGCAGATTCCCATTGTCCTCCCTAAACACTGCTTGTAAACAGTTTTGGGACTGAATGCACCCTTTGACTGTAGTCTATGCTTTACATTGACTAGAACTGACAAACAGATGAAAAGTAAAATAATGTTTCTAGAGATTTTCTATTTGGTTATGTCATTTTTTTCCATGGACACATCTGGCTAAAGCCAAGGGGTGTTAAGCCCCCAAATGTCATTTGAATGTTCTTACAGTATGAAGAAGAGGAAGAAGAAACACTTTGAAAACCAATAATTCGGCCAGGCGCAGTGGCTCAATGCCTGTAATCCCAGCACTTTGGGAGGCCAATGTGGGTGGATCACCTGAGGTCAGGAGTTCGAGACCAGCCTGGCCAACATGGTGAAACCCCATCTCTACTAAAAATACAAAAAGTTAGGCAGGCGTGGTGATGCGTGCCTGCAGTCCCAGCTACTCAGGAGGCTGAGGCAGAAGAATCACTTGAACTTGGGAGGCAGAGGTTGCAGTAAGCCAAGGTTGCACCACTGCACTCCAGCCTGGGCAACAGAGTGAGACTTTGTCTCAATAAGAAAAAAAAGAAAACCGGTAATTCTGTTTTGGAACTCCTTGCTCTGCTATGGCACATGTATACATATGTAACAAACGTGCACATTGTGCATATGTACCCTAGAACTTAAAGTGTAATAAAATATATATATATATGAAAAAAGAAAAAGAAAACAACAGTGCTGATTGAGGTGTCACACTTTTGCTGGTTGTCTCTCCTGGGTATACCTCTAGCTTATCACCGCCATTCTGGGAAGACAGGAGCAACTGCCTTTTAGCTGTAGTCACCACTCATTTCCCTGTTAGCCCCTTGTGGACTGGAAGCTCCTTGAAGGAGACAAGGCACCAAGTCACATTTTACTTCATATCCCACCACCATGATGTGCCTGGCACGTAAATGTTGAATAATCTGAACGAGTGGATCCCTGAACAGTTTAATAAAATGGGGTTTAAGGAGACTGTGACATTCATGAATAGCATCACATCCAGGCTTATTTCTATGGCTTTCTATTGGGCTCAATGCCTGGGTCCCTGGCACATGAGAAACAAGTATCCTTGAGCAGTAGGGGAACCATACCTTATTCTTACCACCTCAAAATATCTAGAACTGGCTGGGTGCGGTGGCTCATGCCTGTAATCCCAGCACATTGGGAGGCTGAGGCGGGCAGATCACGAGGTCAGGAGATCGAGACCATCCTGGCTAACACAGTGAAACCCTATCTCTACTAAAAATACAAAAAATTAGCCAGGCGTGGTGGCGGGTGCCTGTAGTCCCAGATACTCGGGAGGCTGAGGCAGGAGAATGGTGTGAACGTGGAGGCGGAGCTTGCAGTGAGCTGAGATCGCGCCACTGCACTCCAGCCTGGCGACAGAACGAGCCTCCATCTCCAAAAAAAAAAAATCTAGAACCTCAGCATGAAGCCATTTTTAAAATGGTGCCCTATACTTAGTCAAATTCAGGCAATTCAGTTTGGGGAATTATTTTCTGTAAATGAGGTGCTCTGAATCAGAGTTCTGACTCCAGCTTTACTGGCTGCCTAAGTGCCATGGTTTAGTGTAATGAAAATACAGTGGGGGGTCCTTAAGGCATCATTCAGGGTCTACCTTTAAGCGACTCCAGCTCTTGAACTTAATGAACTGGACACTTTCAAGTTCTGAACATGGTAAATAAAAGCCAGCACCTGCTGCCAAAATACCTTGTCTCATAATCAAAATCATTTCTAGAGCCAGCGGAACATGGATTCCCTGAGAAATTCCCACTGACTCAGCAATTTTAGGTTGGGATTTTATTTTAGAGTCACTTAACGAAAAGATTTCACCTAGTGGCATGGCCCCAATATTTATCAGGTAACTCTGGCCCCATCTCAGCAGACTGACTGATTCAATCATCTTACCCTTTACTGGGGATGAAACGAAATGCTTACTAACTCACTCCTGACCCCACCTGCCACTCCAAGTCATTCCAGCAAACAAATCCGTAATAGATTGCTGAGAGGGGGAAGATAGGTGAAATTGGAGAATACACTAAAAATCAACTAGTTTTAAACGGTACGGGTGGGAGCCATGCCCCCTCTGTACTGGTCCACTTTATAAATCCCAGAGGGAACTCATTCTATGCTTGAAGGAAAACTTTGCCTTGTTCTTTGGTTAGATTGTGCTGAACAGATCAATTCATGTCAAAGAGCATCAACTTTTCTTATTTATGCCATGGCTTCCATACCACATCACACTTTATTTACTCTTAGTGGAACCTTGAATCAATGATCAATTTTGTTTTGTCCTTCAGTGGAGTATCAGACACCAGGACAACCTGGTCAGCAAATATTCTGAAGTCCTCAGCAGTTATTACTAGACAGGATATTAGCATATGGCACATCATGGAATTAATTTATGTAACACATACTTAGCATGCACCTATCAAATATGTATCAGGCACAGTGCCACGGCCTTAGGATGGAGAAGAAAAAACATAGTTCTTGCTCTCAGAGAGCTTAGATCTAGAAGTTGATAGATGCTGTTTTCCAAGTTTCTCCACTTGTATTTCTGAAACTGTGAACAGCCAACTGACATGTAGTAAGCAATCATTTTTCCAGAAAAAGTCTGTTGGGGTGAAATAACATGATAAGGGATCTGAGAAAAGTAGGCAGGGTAGGGATGGCAATGGGGAAGATTCCGTTATAAAGGAACAGCATACATATAGATTATATCGCTGTATATTTGTGTCTGTGAAGCACCTCATTTAATTAGATGGTATCATGGCAACTAGAAGAGTGCTTACTTAAATGAGCGGCTCCATGCAAAGCCCTAGCAGACTGAAAGTGCTTTGTAGGTATTAGCTGTTATTATTCCTACTGCTCATCACTAATATGTAGTAGGCACTCCATAAAGGTTTGCGACATGAGTGGGTGGGAGATTTAGTGCTGAAATGTAAACCTATACATAAACTGAATATCACATCTATATGAATAGAGAACCTTTTACAGTACAAGCAAGAGCAAGATGTTCACATTATATTCTGCAAAGAATGATCTGAACACTTAAACTTACAGGCTCCGAAAGTGTCTCTCTGCCCAACATCCCTATCCATTTAAATAGAAATGGCAGTAGCAGCTTCCTGGTGCTGCTGGTGGGAAGAGCCGTGGTAAGGTGTCTCCTTTCTTTCACTCCGGAGCGGGGGTGATGACAGGAGAGGGACCGGGCGGGAGCGAAGTGATGATGGTGATAATGGGGGTAACTGCTGAGAGCGGGAGGGTGGGGGCCAGGAACAGGAGGAGTGTGAGCGTGAGAAGACAGTGCTCAGAAGCCGACACCCAGGTGACTTCTCTGGAATCTCCCTGCTCTGAAATGGGTAACGTGGCTCCTTTCTCTGAAGCTCCAACACTTAAAGGAGCTTCTTGTTTTAAGCTTCTTGTGTTAAGCTCCAGATTTTTACAAGCATCTCTTCAGAGCCTGGTCTCCAAAGCCATCCGTCCAGTCAGATCAAGAGCTACTTGCCCTGTTTCTCCATAGTCACGAACTGGTTAATGTGAGGGGAAGGCAAGAATGGTCTCCATCGTCACGGGTTTCTGCCTTGGTTTGAAGCAAGCTCCAGCAGTTACATGAACACCAGTTACGGAATGTCTACAGTTATGACAAGACACAGCAGGGCTGACCCGGCTCACCCAGCAAGGGAACAAAGGCCATCCACACGTCAGACCCAGCAATTCAGGTGAAGGAACACACAGAACCTCCTAGTTCGCTGGATGAGGAGTCCCCCAATTTCACCAGATAATCACACAACATGTTTTCATATGGCCACATGCCCACAGCCTCAAGAAGGTGAAGCATTTTCAGAGAATGATTCCTGACACTACAGAAACATTGACCATTTAGAATCAGAAGACCCTCAGTCAAGGCTGGCCTCACAGGAAAATCAAATGTAATGATTCCCATAATGAGTTCAAGCCAGACAACTGAATTATGCATCTGACATTAAAACAACTGGGGGATTGTAGGAGGAGGAGAAGTTTGGGAAGAGAGAGGACAGTGTAATCTTCTGGGAGTAAAATTTATTACTGAACATTAAAAAAAGATCTGCAAGTTAAGTTGAGAGTCATTTTGTTTATACTCGAAATGCTACAATGTCCTTTGATTTGTTTATGCAAGTTTTAGGGGACAAGTTACGTTTTTTTAGCATATAATCTACATTTATTCCCAAAACACTGCTCCTGAGACAATCCATCAGATATTTCCTCAAGGCTGTGGAAAAGGGGATAAAAGGCATATTTTTAAAGGTGGGCGTGTATGTGCAAAACATGTTTGTTTTAAAGAGATCTGAATGCTGTAGAAATAATTAGCCATGTGCGTGAACGAAAATAATGAATACCAAATGGTACAATGTCCTGCTTGAATCCTGTTTCAGAAACAGAATGTGAAGGAAACATTACGTTCTCTCATCCCTCTCTTTTCTCTTTCACCCTTGTTACCCCTGAATTTTGTAATAATCACTATTACCCTTTTGGCTATGAATTTAATGTCTCTATATATAGAGCCACACCCCTAACACAGATTCTTCTTGCCTCTCAGAGACAGTTAAATGTCTTTGGGTATTGCACTACTTATTCTCCATAGGGGCTCAGACATATTCACTATTGAGCATTTTCATTAGCTAAAATAAATTAAATGTATGTCGTAAATGTGCAGCAACACTGAAGAAGCTGCGAGCTACATCTTGTCCTTGGGAGTCATTTACTTAGAATAAGTAAAGACTTTCTCACTTGCTAGTTTCAGGCGTCTTACCTTGTGTTATTCCTTACAAATGGACAGGGCTGTTCTAGAACCCACTTCCTGAATACAGGGAAAGACCCCAGTGGTGTATTGGGATAATGGAGACAGACAGGTCTGAATGTGAGGTGTGGACGTGGGCTTGTGTGTGTGTTTTCTCCACTGGATTTCTTCAAACCTAAAGTTGCTGGATCACATTTCTAACAACAATTTGCCTGACCTTATAGGATCTCCTTTCTCACTGAATATGTTACGATTAGAGGAACTAAGATTGGCTAAAGGACTTTTGGAATGAGCCCTGGACTTAAAAACCCGTTGAAGAGGGAGCAAACAAGAGGAACAGTGTTTTCCAAGAGGCTTACTTCTCTTAAATTGAAATATAGTCATGTTCCCTGGCTCTGAGGGCACTTTCTCAGAGCCCATATGTTTATTCAAGCATTTGCTTCGTGATGTGGGAGGCTCAGCCAGTGTAATCCCAGGCATGAGATGTTCAAATGCTGAATATGTTATTCAAGCACATTATTTCCCATTGACATATGTAAATTTAAAAATAAAATAATAATGCAAATTTACATATTGAATCTTGGGAATGGAAAACACATTTCCGATGTCACTGGGTATATCTGTTCCCCTACTTTAAAATAGGACTATAGAGCTGTTCTCTTTGAAGTCATCTCTGACCATACAGTTTAATCCAGTGGGCATTAATTCAGATTCTGGGTTAGTGTCTTGTAGAAGCTCTCCGGTGCTTCTAATATTCAGCAGATATTGAGAACCCATGGTCTAATCCAATGGCCATTCTTAGTCTTTCTGTTTCTCTGCTGCATTTAATATAATTGATGTCTTAATTTTCTTCTGTCTTTTTTATTTTTATTTTTTACGTCCATAGGTTTTGGGGGAACAGGTGGTGTTTGGTTACATGAATAAGTTCTTCGGTGGTGATTTCTGAGATTTTCGGTGCAGCCATCACCCGAGCACTATACACTGTACCCATTTTGTAGTCATTTATCCCTCACCCCCCTCCCACCCTTTCTCCCAAGTCCCCAAAGTCCACTGTATCATTGTGAGGCCTTTGCATCCTCATGGCTTGGCTCCCACTTATGCGTGAGAACATACTGTTATAGGATCTCTGGGGTGTCAATTTTTCTGATGGGAAACTTCTGTGGCCGCAACGCCTTTTAAGCCCAAGTTTTTGTCCTGCGTCCAGAAAGAATGAGGTACACAGACATGTGAAGGGTGAAAAAGAAGAGTTTTATTTAGTGTTAGAACAACTCGGAGGAGTGGGGAGCTCCTCTCTATAAGCAGATCGTCCCATTGAGTGTTCAGCTCTCAGCAGAGAGGAGGCCCTGGAAAGGGTGGCTCCTCTCTGCAGGCAAGTCATTCTGCAGGTCTCTGAAGCACTCCTCTTAGCAGAGAGGGTAGCTCCTCTCTGCCAGCAGGTCATCTCTGCAGCTGGTTGTCCCATCGTCTCCAGCTATCAGCAGAGAGGGTACTCCTCTCTGCAACTGGTCATCCAGTCCCATTCTCTCTCTGCCCCCTTTGTCCCTGGCCATCCTCCTGCCTGCTGTGGCTAAGCCCAGGGCTTTTATGGACCTCAGAGGGGAGGAAGTATGTGCCAATTGGTCCATGGGTGGCCATGGGTGGACGGAAGAGGCACCACGAGTCCCCACTCTGGTCGGCAGGACTGGCAGCCCGGCCCCCAGCCTTCAGGCCCTCCCTCGCCTGAAGGTGGGGCCTAATTGGGGACTCCCCTCTTTTCTGCCCCGGACCCTGTCTTCCTCCTGCTGCCATTCATGGCCCCGGGGCTTGGCCCCAACCCAGCTCTGAGATCTGAGTGGGTGCCTGGAACGGAGAGAGGCCAGGCAGTGGGCGCAGACACATCTGAGCATGCAGAGATGGGGAGGGTCCTTCCTGGGGCGCCCAAGGGTGCAGGCTGCAGAGACGCCCAGGTCCTGTGCCTGGGAGGGTTGGCCACAGCTGCACCCGGGAGCTCCCGCCCTGACAACTCGGAAGGGGCAGGGCTCCCGCTTGTTCCTGGCTCCTGCCTGCTTCCTGGAATGGGAGGCCCAGGTCTGCAGCCGTGGGTGCGGCAGCTGCAGCTGCACCTGGGAAGGCAGATCCTGCCTGTTCCAGGCTCCCCCAAGAGCACAGGGAGACTCGGATCTACAGCTGCAGTTTGGGTGGCTGTGGCCCCAAGAGGGCGGGGCTCCTGCTTGCTCTGTGGAGCAGGAGGCCTGGGTCTGCAGCTGCAGTTCAGGTGGCTGCAGTGGCACGCGGAGCTCCCATCCCAACTCGGAATGAACAGGGCTGCCACCAGCTCCATGGAGTATGCAGCACCAGCCGCGCAGCCAGCTTGATGGCAGCAGCCACTGCCATCATTACGGTGTTCAGTTTTCCATTCCTGAGTTACTTCACTTAGAATAATGGTATCCAGTTCCAAACAGGTTGCTGTGAATGCTATTATTTTGTTCCTTTTTATGGCTGAGTAGTATTCTGTGATATATACATACAATAATTTATCCACTCATTGATTGATGGGCATTTGGGCTGGTTCCATATTTCTGCAATTGCGAATTGTGCTGCTGTAAACATGCATGTGCAAGTATCTTTTTCATAAGACGTCTCCTCTGGGTAGATACCCAGTAGTGGGATTGTTGGATCAAATGGTAGTTCTACTTTAAGTTCTTTAAGGAATCTCCACACTGTTTTCCATAGTGGTTGTATTAGTCTACATTCCCACCAGCAATGTAAAAGTGTTCCCGTTTCACCACATCCCCATCAATATCTATCATTTTTTTTATTATGGCCATTTTTGCATCTTCGCCCTTCTTGACTACTTTTCCTCTCTCTAACCAAAATTATGGTAGGTGTTTGCTCTTCTTGCCTTTTGATTGCCTTTCTTGGATATTTCTCCCAGTGTCAGCTTCCCTCCCGGGTACTGGTGCTGCTTCTGTCACCCCGTTCCCTTACCTACTCTTGGTCCTTTCAGGAGAGTTCCTGTATGTTTATCTTAGAGCCACGTAAAGCTAAATGGGTCTTACTATCTTTATTAACGAGCTTTATTATCTGCCCCTCCTCTAGCTTAGCACTCTGTCCATTCTGTGTATCTTATTGCAGTTGTACCTTTCCTATTCCCACCTGAGAGCTCCCACTCCTTTGGTTCAACCCAGCTTCCATCAATCATTCCTCGAGCCTTGCCAATTTTTTGTCTCTCTTCCATGTTTATTGTCGCTACCTGAGTCTAGACCCTCTGGGAACTGAGCTGATTGGATTGCAGTCTTCTGCACGGGGAGCCATGGTGTAGAGTGGAAAGTGTAATGGATGTGGAGTTAGAAAGATCAAATTCTGGACTCGGTTAAGCATTTAATTAAAATGTCTTGGCCAGGCATGGTGGCTCACACCTGTAATCCCAGCACTTTGGGAGGCCGATGTGGGTGGATCATTTGAGGTCAGGAGTTTGAGACCAGCCTGACCAACATGGTGAAATCTCGCCTCTACCAAAAATACAAAAATTAGCCGGGCATGGTGGCGGGCACCTGTAGTCCCAGCTACTCAGGAGGCTGAGGCAGAAGAACCGCTTGAACCCGGGAGGCAGAGGTTGCAGTGAGCCGGGGTCACGCCACTGCACTCCAGCCTGGGTGACAGAGTGAGACTGCGTCTCAAAAAGCAAAAAAAAATAAAATAAAATAAATAAAATAAAATAAAATAAAATAAAAAATAATAAAATAAAAATAAAAATGTCTCAAACCCATAGGACCTTAGTAGTGCATATTTGTCTCTAGGCCTGTTTCGCCACCTATAAAATAAGCTGCATTTTATAAATGGAATAACTATAAATGAATATAAATCGATGTGGAATTTGCATAAATTCCATATAGATTTGGGTTTCTTGGCCTTATGCTGAAACCAGCATTTGAGACTGTTGGTGAAAAGAATATAAAGAGGTGGTGTGGTGTACATATTACTGTCCGTATTATGGTCTGATTGTCACCACAGTCCTCCATATTAGCTTTTTATATGACCCCTGCTTTCCCAATCTAGATCTCCAGAATTTTTTTGGTGTTTTTTGAATATAATCAAAAGTTTGTTTTGCTCAAGATTCATCTTCCTAAAAATGTTTGACAAATGCCTAATTTGAAAATTAGTTTGCTGTCTTCAAGCTTCTCTTAGGAAAGAAACGTGGTCCAAAAGAAGTTTGTCTAGTATGCAGGGATTTTTAAAAACTGGATAACCCAGGGTGGTCTGCATAAGTTATATGCTTTTCCCCCAAAGAATTTCAAACGGCTTTCCTGGTATCATTTGTCCTTATGTTTCTTTAGTTCCAGGACAGTTCATACTGTTCTTGGCAGCTTACAAAATGAGAAACTGAGGTATTGTAATTCAGTCTACTTCCCTTCCAAGGAAAATTGAAAAACACTGTGGGGAAAATACTAACAATTATGTGAGCCTCAACTTTAGATTCTGAAAAATTTATTCATGGAAAGCAAAAATTCATTACTATTCCCATAACATTGCCAACAGCAAAGAGATTATATTCAGAATTAAATACAGCCCTGTTCCATTTCTTCTTTGCTTTGAAACTCAGTGTGAGACAGCAGTGGAACCTTTTCTGACTTAAGGCCAAATTAGGTCAAAAACCTTTGCTTTGAACCTTCTGAGTCATAGAATAAGCAGGGAGGAGGAAGAAAATCCGTGACCTGTGCCACGATTTTTTACTGAGGTTTTGTGCAAAGAGTGCCGTGGGCAGGAAATGTAGGAAGAAGAGAGGACATCACTTCTTCAGTGTTTCCCTGTATGTCCAGAGATAGGAAATTCAGACATTTGCTTTATTTGCTAAACTTCACAGATGTGAGCAAGAGGAATATTAGAGGCAATGTGTCTAAATTACTTACTTCGATGTAATGACTTCAGAGCTCTCAGGAGGAGAATGGTCGCGGGGAAGGAACGAGCCCAACCAATGGCATGCCCAGAGTCAGCCCTTCATCTGCAGTTTTAAGAAGTGGTGGTTGGAGCAAGACGTGTTTGCAGTTACAGGAATAAGCAGGAGAGGGCAGCTCAAGTTGCCCATCAAAAGGGTGGGTGAGGGGCTGGGCGTGGTGCCTCACGCCTGTAATCCCAGCACTTTGGGAGGCCAAGGCGGGTGGATCACCTGAGGTCAGGAATTCAAGACCAGCCTTGCCAATACGGTGAAACCCCGTCTCTACTAAAAATAGAAAAAAATTAGCCGGGCGTGGTGGCGCATGCCTATAATCCCAGCTACTCAGGAGGCTGAGGCAGGAGAATTGTTTGAACCTGGGAGGCAGAGGTTGCAGTGAGCCGAGATCGTGCCACTTCACACCGGCCTGGGCGACAGAGCGAGACTCCGTCTCAAAAAAGAAAAAAAAAAAAGGGTGGGTGAGTATTCCTGCAGGAAGGGGAAGATTGAGCAGAGAAAAATGTCATCCCTTTCTTATCCATGGGGCTTCTCCTCCCCCACCAAGCTCATCCATCAGGGTCGACACTGCTCTTGTTTGTGTCTTCGCTTAGAAGAGCCTGCTAGAAGAGTGGCAGATGAGTCACCTGTCACTAAAAGTAGGTGTTCTTAGTGCTGGGGAAAATGGAAGGTGGCAGCAAATTCCTGCTGCAGTTTTCCGTAAAATTGGATTACCACTACTGGTTTTAGGTGCCCCTGGTTTTAGGTGCTCTGTATGTAAGTTTGTGCAAAAGTACAGCGGCATCTGTGGGCATCCAAGCTGGGTTCTGCTCTCAGCAAACTGAAGCAAGCCCAGGCCAGTCCAAGGGAAGATGGCTGTGGACCTTCCTTCTGTTTTATGCAGCCTAGTTTGAGGCAGTTCAACTGCCCCAGAGTTAAACAGTTCACCATACATAATAGAGGACTTCGTAATTAAAATAAATACCTCTCCACCAAGAGAGGAGAAAAAGAAAGATGTGCACAGTGTGATGCAGAAATGCAAGGTGCCCTAAAGTCAAATATGTTACAGGACACAGTGTGCAGCTGTCAGGGCCTCTGGCCAGTCTCCAGCTATGCTGGAGGTATTTTCTGTGCTCTGACCATAGGCTACAAGACCACATGGCTGCTGCTCCACTCTGTAGAGTTTCTTGCATATCAGAAAATCTGAGACCTGACATTTGTGATGAATATTTCTTGTACCCATCACAAATCAGAAGAACAACCCAGAGAGGATGTCAGGCACCTGTTGGTCTTTCCTCTTGATCTACTTGTTGCCTCCAAGCAACTAAGGTTCTTTTTAGAGCTCTCACCCCTCAAAGTGTAGATAATTATATTATCCTCTAAATATCTAAAAACTTTGTTTAAAAGGACTCGATTTTGTTTTCTGGGAAAAGCTTGGTTTAATACAAACAAATTCCATGTGTAACCCAGCTTTATAAAATAGAAGGGTCCGAGTGCGGTGGCTGTAATCCCCACACTTTGGGAGGCTGAGGCAGGTAGATCAGGAGGTCAGGAGATTGAGACCATCCTGGCTAACACAGTGAAATCCCGTCTCTACTAAAAATACAAAAAATTAGCCAGGCATGGTGGCGCACACCTGTAGTCCCAGCTACTAGAGAGGCTGAGGCAGGAGAATCGCTTGAACCCAGGAGGCAGAGGTTGCAGTGAGCCGAGATTGCACCACTGCACTCCAGCCTGGGCGACAGAGCGAGACTCCATCTCAAAAAAAAAAATAAGTGAAATAAGATAGAAGGAAGGGGGTCTGGCTTTATTGTGGAGGGCACTGTTTTAGGGAGGTACATACATGAATATGTTCCTCCGTCAGGGAACTGAGGGTCCACTGCACTGATTCTCAACCATGGCTGCACATTGAAATCACTGATACCCACTCCGACCCTATAGGTTCTGAGTTCAGTGGCCTGGAGTGTGGTGTGACCGGCAAGACTTTTCAAAATCTTTCCAGGTGATTCTCCTGTGCTGCCAAGGTTAAGAAGCACAGGTCTAGTGTAGTAGTTCCCCAACCTAGCTGCCAATCAGAATCACCAAAAGAGATTTTTAAAATACAGATTCCTAGGTCCCAGCCCAGACCTACACAATCTTGGGAAACTACAGAGGATGTGTATTTTTACAGCATCACATGTATTTCTGATTATCGACTCAGGGGACCCTCACTGTAATGTCCTCATGCACGATTGTGATCTTAAAGCATAATGCCTGTAGCAGTTTTTATTTATTTATTCTCGTAGACGAAGCTGTTTTTCACTGCTTCAAGTTTAATGGCCAAGTGTGTTTGTAATTGTGGTTTTTTGTTTTTTGCTTTTTTTGAGACAAGGTCTTGCTCTGTCGTCCAGGCTGGAGTGCAGTGGTGCAATCTCAGCTCATTGCAACCTCCGCCTCCCAGGTTCAAGTGATTCTCATGCCTCAGCCTCCTGAGTAGCAGGGATTACAGGCACAAGCCACCATGCCTGGCTAATTTTTGTAGTTTTAGTAGAGACGGGGGTTTTGGCATGTTGGCCAGGCTGGTCTCGAACTCCTGACCCCAAGATCCGCCCACCTCAGCCTCCCAAAGTGCTGGGACTACAGGTGTGAGCCACCATGCCGGGCCTCCTGTAATTGCTTGTTAAGAGAATCAGACACCTTTCTGAAGCCACTAACCAACCAGCAGCATTCCCCATTCTATGAGCGCTTTTCCTTTCTGCTTTCTTGGCACATTTCTGTCATAGACCTCGTTCTCAGCCTTGTTGAGACACCTCCTTTAGTTTAGTGTGGAGTATTTTCCTAGAACACCGCAGCCAGACGTCCCCCGTTATCCGCAGGTTGATTTCTGAGGCCAACTGCAGACTGAAAGTATGAAATGGAAAATTCCAGAAATAAACAGTTCCTAAGTTTTAAGTTGCGTGCTGTTCTCAGTAGCATGATAAAATCTCACGCCTTACCCCATCCTAACGCAGACGTGAATCGTCCCTTTCTCCAGCTTGTCCGCTGCGCAGCGCTCCCCGCCGGTGAGTCACCTAGCGGCCATCTTGGTGCTTAGATCCACTGTGGTGGGATGGAAGTGCTTGTGTTCAAGTCACCTTTATTTTACTTAATGATGGTCCCAAAGCACTTAGTGATGCTGGCATACTGTTACAATCGTTCTATTTTATTATTAGCTATTATCATTAATCTCATACTGTGCCTAATGTATAAATCAAACTTTATCGTAGGTATGTATATATAGGAAAAAAACATAGCGTACATAGGGTTTGGTACTATCCAGTGGGTTTCAGGAACCCACTGGGGGTCTTGGAACCTATTCCTCATGGATAAGGCGGGGACTATTGTACTGAAATCTGACAATAACTCTGCCATGATGCTTCTTTTGAGCCACAAAGGGAGCCCTCGATGTGCCTTGCTGTGGTCATTTCCTTTAAATTCCCTTGCTGTGATCATTTCCTTCCATCCAGCCCAGCCTGAGATGTGGAGACTACCAGACAGAGCCTCGTGTGATGCTCTGTCGGCTTGAGTGTGAGGAAGCTTGTAAATCCATGCGTTTTGTTAAAACATTATCTTCTACAGTGTCATTGAGGGAAGTTTCAAATCAGCTGTGAAAGAAAACAAAACCCACCCATCTAAGGCATTACTCATGCCTGGCTGTTCCTGGCTTGCATTAGACTCCCTGGCTGGTCCCTTCAGGCTCTCCGTTGAGAGCTTTCTGTGAAGTTCTTTGTATATTTTCCCAAATATGTTTATTATGGGTTCATTTTATCTTCTACGTTGGAAACGTTATAGATTGAGACTCAGTCACTGCCTTATTGCTGCTTTTCATCATCCCACCCACCATCCCTTGGGTTAACCAGAGCAAAATAGAAGCAAACTATATTATTCGCGAAACTATAGCAGGGAAAAAGATCCAAGTTTCTGGAACGTGTCCTGATGAAAAAATAAGAGTGCATCAGATGTGGAGATAAAATGTCTCAATGTTGAAGGGATGCATTTATCTACTTAACACTCAGATGTTTTTCTGATGGAAGCCTCTGCTTATTTATATTTTAGCAAAGGCCAAACTAACCTGTTCTAAGAAATAATCTCATACTGAAAGAGAGACCTCACTTCCCATTTCCCAATCCAAAGTAAATGCTGTGAAAGACCAGGAATGTAGTACCGTCAGCACACATCTGGGACTGTTTGTAGCCTACGTTCTGAAATCAGGGGATGCTGACAGGCTCAAGCTGCGATACTGAAAGGAGGCCTGGTTTCCCTTCTGTTGGAATTACATTACAAGGAGAAATATTGATCCAGCATACTCAAGAATGGGCTGGGTGTGGTAGCTCATGCCTGTTATCCCAACACTTTGGGAGGCTGAGACAGGCAGATCTCTTGAGCCCAAGAGTTCAAGACAAGCCTGGACAACATGGTGAAACCCCGTCTCTACAAAAACTACAAAAATTAGCTGGGCGTGGTGGCATGCGCCTGTAGTCCCAGCAACTCAAGAGGCAGAGGTGGGTGGATGGCTTGAGCCTGGGAGGTCGAAGCTACAGTGAGCCAAGATTGGGCCACTGCACTCCAGCCTGTATGACAGAGTGAGACCTTGTTTCAAAAAAAAAAAAAAACCCTGAAATTAAAAAAACATTCACTGGGGGAAAAATTGGTTTCTTAGTAGAAGAATACCAGCAAAACTCAAAATGAAAATGGAAATGCTCTGCTGCCAATCAGGAAAAGACTGAAAATCTTGGCAGAATTCTGCTGGAATCCTCTGCCCATTTCCTTCATGTTCTCATAATTATAAAAGAAAAAGAAATGAACATTGATAAAGTTCCTGCTGAATAAGAGAAGTTTTTTCTACCTCACATTTGTTGAATGCATCTCATTTAGTCATCACCCTAACCCTGTAGGGTACGTGTTATTATCTCCATTTTCTTTATTTTTTGAGACAGGGTCTTGTTCTGTCTCCCAGGTTGGAGTGCAGTGCCGCGATCTCAGCTCAATGCAGCTTTGATCTCCCAGGCTAGGCTCAAGCAATCCTCCCACCTCAGCCTCCCAAGTTGCTGGGACTGCAAGCATGCACCACCACACCTGCCTAAATTTTTTTATTATTTTGTAGAGACAGGCCTCACTTTGTTACCCAGGCTGGTCTCGAATTCCTGGCCTCACATAGTCCTCCTGCCTCGGCCTCCTGAAGTGCTGGGATTACAGGTGTGAGCCACCACACCCAGCCAATTCCCATTTTAAAATGAGGAAACCAAGGCTTGGGTTCGGTGATTTGCTGTGACTGAAAATCCTTCCCTCCCCACAAATAGGGACACCACTATCAGATATCACATAGATCATTTCCCAGGAGCCAAGGGCAAAGGGCAGACCCGTCTTTGGCCAAAGCCAAATTCTTTCCTACACAGTAAATATGGGAAAAAGAGAGACTTCAAGCTTCACCCCAAGAGTTGAGACATTTTGAAGAAAGACTGACACAATTAGGGGAGTCGCTGGATATAGGAGTGAAGTGCGAGAGAGGTATCAAATATCAGGCTCTGGCCTATGCTTGGAGAAATGGTGCAAAACCGTTAGCAGAAATATGGAACCGGAGTGCATGCTGATTTGAGAGGGGTGGTAAGCATCCAAGTGGAAATTCCTCACAGACTCTTGAGCTGAGACTGAAGTTCAGGAAGAAGAACACACCTGGATTTTTTTTCTTATGCTAGGCATTATAGTTGCTTTTATTTCATCTCAACAATCTTTTGAAAACGTATTATCATCATTCACATATTCCAGATGAGGAAACTGAGGCTTACAGAGGTTAACTGCATCTTCCACGTCCACAGTGCTAGTATAGAAAATGAGCTTTGTTGTAAACAGGAGACTGCCTTACTTTTTTTGCATTTCCGCTTGTCCATTAAATATTTTATTGCCTGTTTAGATTACAGTCATTGGTGCCTACAGCAGCATTATTTATCTTTCATTGGGAATTAGGGCCTTAAATTAAATCGTTAGTCATATTTTATGTTTTTATAATGTTGTAGAGATTCTAGTTAGGGCATGGTATTCTAAAAAGGAAAAGCATTGATTTAATTTATAATGAATAATTGTATCTAAACAGTGTACTATGTGTTCTGCGTTCAAATAAGCCAGAAAGCTTCTATTTATACCAAAGGAATAAACAGCAAACAACAGACATACTTAAATTGAAAACATGAGCACATTTGAATTTTATTTTTGAATGTAGATGTAATTGACCATTTGTTCTGCAAACAAGGCTTTGGTCCAGTTTAGGGGGAAAAAAAAATCAGTGCACTAGTGTGGAGTATTTTCTAAAAGAAGACAATTTTAGAGACTTAGTAAACTTTCTGAACCGGTAAGACTTGAAATGCCTCATGAAGGGAAGTGAGGCAGGGAAACTTTTAATGAGAGATTATTCCATTCACCATCTTTGCTGGAGCTGACTGGTGTCTATGATGCAGGAAGTAACCTGAGAAAGAATTCTAGGGAGGAAAATGTGTTTTTTTTTTTTCTTTCTTTCTTTTTTGAGACACAGTCTCGCTCTGTCACCAGGCTGGAGTGCAGTGGCATGATCTCAGCTCACTGCAACCTCTGCCTCCCGGGTTCAAGTGATTCTTCTGCCTCAGCCTCCCGAGTAGCTGGAACTACAGGCACGTGCCACCATGCCCAGCTAATTTTTGTATTTTTAGTAGAAACAAGATGTCACCATGTTGGCCAGGATGGTCTCGATCTCTTCATCTCGTGATCCACCAGCCTCAGCCTCCCAAAGTGCTGGGATTACAGGCGTGAGCCACCATGCCCAGCCTGAAAATGTGATTTTTTTATGCAGATGAAAATAGGACCACAGTGAAGGAGGTAGAGAAGAGGGCCTTTCTTAGAAAATAATCGGAACAACCACAGCCAGTAATTGTAGGTCTTGAGTACGCCAGGCCCTCATCTAAATTCTTCTTATGTGTGAACTCACAGCAAGCCTGTGGGGTAGGAACTAGTATTATTCCCACTTTGGAGATGAGCAAACTGAGGCACAGAGAAATGAATTAGTTAGGCCTGGTTAGTACTTAGATCAGAGAAATTAATTAACTTGCATCAGATATACACAGCTGAGGAGTAAGGCCACCAGGATTCCAAATCAGGTGGCCTAGATCCCAGGCCTGTGCTGTTTGCTGCAGCAGTCATAGGAGGTAGTTTGAACTGGAAAGCAGTTCATCATGAGAGGTAGCATTTTTTGAGGCACTACTGCCTGCTTGCATGCTAGGCACTGAATTGTCCCATGCAATTCTCATAACAACTTCATGAAATAAGGCGTATTACTATCTTCATTTTTTTTTTTCTAAGGCAGAGTTTCACTCCTGTCGCCCAGGCTAGAGTGCAATGGTACAATCTTGGTTCGCTGCAACCTCCACCTCGCGGGTTCAAGTGATTCTTCTGCCTCAGCCTCCCTGGAATTACAGGCACTCACCACCAAGCCCGGCTAATTTTTTTTGTATTTTTAGTAGAGACGGGGCTTTGCCACATTGACCAGGCTGGTCTCGAACTCTGGATCTCACATGATCTGCCCCCCCTCGGCCTCTGAAAGTGCTGGGATTATATGTGTGAGCCACCGTGCCTCGCCATACTATCTTCATTTTCTTAAAGAGGAAATCAAAGCTTAGAAAGTTGAATGGGCCCGGTGCTGTGGCTCATATCTGTAATTCTAACACTATGGAAAGCCAAAATGGGAGGATCGCTTAAGCCCAGGAGTTTGAGACCAGCCTGCACAGCGTGATGAAACCCTATCTGAATAAAAAAGTTTAAAATGTAGCTAGATGTGGCGGCACAAGTCTGTAATCCCAGCTACTAAGGAAGCTGAGGATCACTTGAGCACAGGGAGGTCGAGGCTACAGTAAACTATGGTTGTGCTACTGTGTCCAGAATTAGGTGCGTTCTTGGTCTCACTGACTTCAAGAATTAAGCCGTGGACCCTTGCGGTGAGTGTTACAGTTCTTAAAGCGGCATGTCTGGAGTTGTTCATTCCTCCCTGTGGGTTCATGGTCTCACTGGCTTCAGGAATGAAGCTGCAGACCTTTCCGGTGAGTGTTATAGCTCATACAGGCAGTATAGATCCAAAGAGTGAACAGCAGCAGCAAGATTTATTGCAAAGACAAAAAGAACAAAGCTTCCACAGTGTGGAAAGGGATCGGAGAAGGTTACCACTGCTGGCTCGGGCAGCCTGCTTTTATTCTCTTATCTGGCCCTACCCATGTTCTGCTGATTGGTCCATTTTACAGAGAGCCCAGTGGTCTGTTTTGACAGGGTACTGATTGGTGCATTTACAATCCCTGAGCTAGACACAAAGGTTCTCCAGGGCCCCACTAGATTAGCTAAATAAAGAGTGTCGACACAAAGGTTCTCCAAGTCCCCACCAGAGTAGCTAGATACAGAGTGTGGATTGGTGCATTCACAAACCCTGAGCTAGACACAGGGTGCTGATTGGTGTGTTTACAAACCTTGAGCTAGATACAGAGTGCCGATTGGTGTATTTACAATCCCTTAGCTAGACATAAAGGTTCTCCAAGTCCCCACCAGAGTAGCTAGTTACAGAGTGTGGATTGGTGCATTCACAAACCCTGAGCTAGACACAGGGTGCTGATTGGTGTGTTTACAAACCTTGAGCTAGATATAGAGTGCTGATTGGTGTATTTAAAATCCCTTAGCTAGACATAAAGGTTCTCCAAGGCCCCACCAGACTCAGGAGCCCAGCTGGCTTCACCTAGTGGATCTTCACAGAGGCAGTAGGTGGAGCTGCCTGCCAGTGCCGTGCGCCCGCACTCCTCAGTCCTTGGGTGGTCGATGGGACTGGGCGCTGTGGAGCAGGGGGCGGCGCTCGTCGGGGAGGCTCTGGCTGCACAGGAGCCCACGGAGGGGCAGGGGGAGGTTCAGGCATGGCGGGCTGCAGGTCCCGAGCCCTGCCCGCCAGAAGGCAGCTAAGGCCTGGCGAGAAATTGAGCACAGCGGCTGCTGGCCCAACTGCTAAGCCCCTCACTGCCCTAGGGCCGGCGGGGTCCGCCGCTGCTCCGAGTGCGGGGCCCACGGAGCCCACAGCCACCTGGAACGCGCGCTGGCCCACAAGCAACGCGCGCAGCCCGGGTTCCCACCCACGCCTCTCCTTCCACACCTCCGCGCAAGCTGAGGGAGCCGGCTCTGGCCTTGGCCAGCCCAGAAAGAGGTCCCACAGTGCAGCGGCGGGGTGAAGGGCTCCTCAAGAGCCGCCAAAGTGGGAGCCCAGGCAGAGGAGGCGCAGAGAGCAAGTGAGGGCTGTGAGGGCTGCCAGTATGCTGTCACCTCTCACTACACTCCAGCCTGGGTGACAGAGTGAGACCCGGCGACAAAAAAGAGGGAGAGAAAATTGAAAGACTTTCCTAAAGTCACGAGTTATCAAATGCCAGTTAGCCCGGTCTAACATGACACTGAATCAACTATGTGCTTCCTGCTCAGGAGTCAGAACGATATTATCAAGTGTTAATGCTTCTAAATGCAAAGAGGGAGCAAGGTGTTTCTTCTCTTTAGTCTGTGACCAGCAGCTGCTCACTATAACCTCTCTTCCACTGCATGTCCAAGGATTACTGCATAGAGGAGGATTCCCATCTTCCCAGCCCCTAAATTTAAAAATAAATTAAATAGGCTGAGCGTGGTGGCTCAGGGCTGTAATCCCAAGCGGTGGCTCACTCCCACTTTGGGAGGCCGAGATGGGCGGATCACCTGAGGTCAGGAGTTTGAGACCAGCCTGGCCAACATGATATAACCCTGTCTGAAAAAAGTACAAAAACTAGCCAGGCATGGTGGCAGGCGCCTGTAATCCCAGCTACTCAGGAGGCTGAGGCATGAGAATCGCTTGAACCCAGGAGGCGGAGGTTGCAGTGAGCTGGGATCACGTGACTGCGCTCCAGCTCTGGCTACTGTCTCAAAATAAATAAATAAATAAATAATTAAAAGAATATAGAACCGCCCTCACACTTCCTGCCGGATGCAGTCAATTTGACAGTGTGCCTCATTCAGAGGGTGTTGCCTACATCCAGGGAGTGTCAATTTTTTTTTATTGAATGAATACCTGATTAAGTTAATGACGCTGAGCTGGGGGAGGAGGAGCAGTTTGGCAGCCCAATGCTGAAGGGCTTCTGGCAGCTCATTCAGTGTCCTTAATGTTCCATTGGCTTTGTGCTGGGCCGCATGTGAGCCCCAGGAGAGGCTGCTGTAATTACTCAGCTTTTTTATTGAAAACAGCTGCAGGTAGCGAGTCATCCCATTGTCCATCTTGCTAGTGACTGGAAACAACTCGGGGCCATCTTGGGCTCCACTACACTGCAGCCTCATTCTGAAGTCAGTGGAGGTAGAAAGTAGGCTTCCCACTTGCTGGGCTTTTCAAAATGAGCCATTCATCTTTTGAGGGTCAGAAGTCAGCCACCCATTCACCGAGTGTGAGTCATACCCCTAATTTTAAAACAAACATTTATTGCAGAGAGAATTCTTATCTTGGCCGATGTGTACAGCTGATCTCCTTGTCCTTCCTACGATTGATTTAGGCTGGTTTCAACAAAATTGTTGTCTTTGTAAATACACACCTCTTCCAGTAAATCCAGAGACTACCGAGGTGTTTCCTTGAGATTGAGCCTAAGACAATCTTTAATTAGTTTTGGATAATTGGATATGAATGTTTAGAGGCCTTCCCATATAGCAAGTGTCTTTAACATCTCACACAATATATTATACTTGTACTTCCTGACCCGAGAAGTAACAGGAGTTAATAATCTCACGTGAGAAAGTATGTTTGAAATGGAATCTCAAGGGGCAGATTCTTTGCAGATACCACAACATTATTTTATGTCCCTCCGTAATGAGTTCAGTTTTTTATCATCACATCCAAAATCTAGAAAATGATCCAGAAATCCTTTGCCTTTTAATAACCAGCTTGTAAGGAAGACAAACTGCAAGAGATGGACACAAGATAAGAACAGTAACCAACCAAGGACGGACAGCACCCTAGAAACCCAAGGGGTTGTGAACTTCAGTCTCTAAGCAGCATCGGAGTTTACGGTCTAATGACGAAAACACGTGAAAACAAGGATTGCAGCAGCCGGAAGTGGCTTTGCTGAGAGTTTAGGAATGATTGCCTAAGGAAGTAGCAGTTAGGGGACCCACTGTATTAGTCAGGGTTCTCTAGACAGACAGGACTAATAGGATAGATGTATATATGAAGGGGAGTTTATTAAGGAATATTGACTCACATGATCAAAAGGTCAAGTCCTACAATAGGCCACCTGCAAGCTGAGGAGCAAGGAAGCCAGTGGTTGACCAGTCTGAGTCCCAAGACCTCAAAAGTAGGGAAGCCGACAGTGCAGCCTTCAGCCTGTGGCCAAAGGCCCAAGAGCCCTGGCCAACCATTAGTGTAGGTCCAAGAGTCCAAAAGCTGAAGAACTTCAAGTCGGGTGTTCGAGGGCAGGAAGCATCCAGCACGAGAAAAAGATGAAGGCCAGAAGACTCAGCCAGTCTAGTCCTTCTACGTTCTTCTGCCTGCTTTCATTCTAGCCTCACTGGCAGCTGATTAGATTGTGCCCACCCAGATTGAGGGTGGGTCTTCCTCTCCAAGCCCATGACCCAAATGTTTATCTCCTTTGGCAACACCCTCACAGACACAACCAAGAATAATACTTTGCATCCTTCAATCCAATCAAGTTGACACTCAGTATTAACCATCATGCCCACCATGGTGAAGGCATGCGGGGGTGGCTGGTGTTAGACTAATTGGAGCCTTGGAGGATAGTCGAGGAAACGGTTCCTGAACGGTGTGTGGATGAGAATGTTGGAGCAGGGTGCTAAGGAGGCACAGAGGAGAGGCAGAGGGTATGGGGTTGGAGTGGGGAGAGCCTTAAGGAGGTGACATGGAAGGAGAGACCTGAAAGATGGGTGAGGCCAGTGCTTCTGGAAGTGTGGTTCCTGGACCAGCAGCATCAGCAGCATCTGGGAACTCCGGGTGAATGTGATGCGCACGCTCGAGTATAAGAACCACTGCATTAGAAAACAGGTGACAGTGCCTTGCGGAGGAGCGGTGGCTGGTGTGGAAAGTACTCTAACAGAGCAGAGGGAACACATACCCAGAGGCCTGCAGCAGGCATATTTGAGGCTTGATCAGGACACAGCCACCCACACCCACTGGTTACAAATTATCTGTGGTTGCTTTCAGCCTGCAGAGGTAGAGCTGAGTAATGGCCACAGAGGTGTATGGCCCGCAAAGCCACACGATTTACTAGGTGGCCGCGCATCGTCAAGGTTTTCCAGTCCCTGATTCAGAGGGTGGAACTGACATAACCTGATGACAGAATCAGGGGAGAAGAGGCATACAGGGATATCGGCCAGCTTTCAGTCTTCAGTGAGCAATGACATGATAGAGCAGTGACACTAAGATACTGCTGCCTCACTTTTTACAGCTCACAGTCCCCTTTGCGGATGTGAGAAAGGGCATACAGCTTTAAGGGCTTAAAGGATGCCCTGACGTCCAGTCCTGGAATACAGGCTAATGCCAGCAGGTATCTCAGAGATCCTTGTAGCTCCAAGCAGATGAGGGAGCGGGGCGCTGTGTGGTTTCAAAACAGAAATGCAGTTTGTTCACAAACTTTTAAGATCATGACATATTTATTTATTTATTTATTTGAGACAGAGTCTCGCTCTGTCACCCAGGCTGGAGTGCAGTGGTGCGATCTCAGCTCACTGCAAGCCTGCCTCCCAGGTTCACGCCATTCTCCTGTCTCAGCCTCTCGAGTAGCTGGGACTACACGTGCCCACCACCACGCCCGGCTAATTTTTTCTATTTTTTAGTAGAGACAGGGTTTCACCGTGTTAGCCAGGATGGTCTTGATCTCCTGACCTTGTGATCTGCGCGCCTCAGCCTCCCAAAGTGCTGGGATTACAGGCGTGAGCCAACGCGCCCAGCCATGACATACTTATTTTTAAAAATTTTTGACTGGTGACAAAATATGCATAATATGAAATTTACCATCTTAATCATTTTTACGTGCACGGTTAAGTGGCACATTCTTGTTCAACCATCACCACCATCTGTCTCCAGAATGTTTCCATCATACCAAACTGAAATTCTGGAACCGTTAAACAACTCCCATTGCCCCGTCCTCCCAGCTCCTGCTAACGCCTGTTCTACGCTCTCTCCAAATTTGACTATTCTAGATTCCTCATAGAAGGGGAATCATATGATATTGTTCTTTTGTGTCTGGCTTCTTTCACTTAGCATAATGTTTGAAGATTTATCAATGTCATAGCATGTAACAGAATGTCATTCCTTTGTAAGGAGAGGGGGATGAATAATAGCTCGTCATAAGGATATACCACATTTTTAAAGTTTATTCATCTGTTGATGATCATTGGGTTGTTGACACCTTTTGGCTCGTGTGCACAATGCTGCTATGAACACGGGTGTGGAATATCTGAGTCCCTGCTTTCAGTGCTTTGTGGTAGATATCCAGACGTGGAATTGCTGAGTCATGTGGTAATTCTGTATTTCACATTTTGAGGAACTGCCAAAATGTTTTCCATGCAGCTGCATCATTTTACGTTCCCACCAACGATGCACATAGGTTCTCGTTTCCCCATCTCCACCAACACTTGCTATTTTCCATTTTTGTTTTGTTTTTTTTTTTAAAAAAAAGAATATAATGTCCATCTTAATGAGTGTGAAGTGGTGTCTCATTGTGGACATAGCATATAATTTTAAGTATGATTAAAGGAGGTTAGAACACGACTTTTGTGTTGGCAAAGTGGGGAAAAGGATTGGCTGCTGTAATTAAAATCACTGAGACAGGCCGGGCTCAGTGGCTCACGCCTGTAATCCCAGCACGTTGGGAGGCCAAGGTAGGTGGATCGCTCAGGTCAGGAGTTTGAGACCAGCCTGGCCAACATGGTAAAACCCCGTCTCTACCAAAAATAAAAATAAAAATAACATAGCCAGGTGTGGTGGCAGGCACCTGTAATCCCAACTACTTGGGAGGCTGAGGCAGGAGAATCACTTGAACCTGGGAGGTGCAGTGAGCCGAGACTGCACCCATTGCACACCAGCCTGGGTGACAGAGCGAGACTCCGTCTCAAAAAAAAAAAAAAAAAAAAAATCACTGAGACATACTGCCAAGGACAGATGGAGTTAGGGGGCTTAAAGATCCTCTATACCAGCCGGGTGCGGTGGCTCACGCCTATAATCCCAGTACTTTGGGAGGCCGAGGCAGGCAGATCAAGAGGTCAGGAGATCAAGACCATCCTGGCTAACACGGTGAAACCCCATCTCTACTAAAAATACAAAAAAATTAGCCAGGCGTGGTGGTGGGTGCCTGTAGTCCCAGCCACTCGGGAGGCTGAGGCAGGAGAATGGTGTGAACCCGGGAGGTGGAGCTTGCAGTGAGCCGAGATCACGCCACTGCATTCCAGCCTGGGGGACAGAGCGAGACTCTGTCTCAAAAAAAAAAAAAAAAAAAAAATCCTCTATACCAGAGGTTCTCACCTCTGGCTGCAAATTAGAATCCCCTGGTGCATTTCCTAAAATGCCAGTGGTGGTCCCAACATCTAGGGATTCTTATTCAGTTGGTCTGGGGTAGATCTGGACATTATGTTTTTAAAAGCTCCCTGGGTGAGTCTGATGTGCCGTCAGCATTGATTTCTTATTCTGCAGGTGAGAGAGTATGGCCCTAGTACTAAGGCTGCAAGGGTTCTGGTCTCTCAGCCAGAGCTGCTGCCACTGATACACCATTATTCAGCATGACCACAAACACAGTGAAACCAGTAGTGTCCCAGGTACATGTGCATCCTCCTTTGTATTGTGGAGGAAATATGTCCCCAAAATCTGCAGAGCCAAGTGCGGGAGCCAACTCCTCCATTTGGTCTGTTGGGATGTTCAGTATTCTATGGTAGATTTCTAGTAAGTCAATTTCACTCAGTGGGCTGAGGATATTAAGACACCGGAAGTTAGCTGATGTGTTCCCCCATTGCTCCAACACTTTGAACTCTGTACCCCAAAAATTGATCCACTCAGTGCTTCTTACATGTATGTGCCATTGGGGAGATTTCCACAGGGAGGCTTTCTCTGAGCCTTTGGCCCTGGTGACATTACACTGAGTAATATATATCCCTGTTCCTTTCTGTACCACCCATCTGCCTGTTCCCTGGCCACAGTTTGGGGTATACCAATTTAGATTAACCTAATTATTGTTTCACAAGGCATTCTTATCACTGAACGCTGATGGATGTTACTTCAACGTTGTTATATTTTATTACTTGGCCTATTTAAGTGTATAACCATCACTAGCTATAAGAAGGTGACCAACTACAACGTTAGAGAGAGCAGTGCCTGCACCACGAATTGCAAGTTCAGGGGGTTTCCCAGACCACCCTCCGTTTTGATAATTCAGTAAAAGGACTCACAGAACTCACTGAAAGCTGTTCTACTCATACTTATTACAGGGAAAGGATACAAGTTAAACTTAGCCAGGGTAAGAGGCATATAGGAGAGGTCTAGAGGGGTCCAGACATGGGGCTTCTGTTGCCCTCTGCCCATGAAGTGATGAACAGCATTACCTCCTCCCAGCCATGATGTGAAGAATCACCAACCAGGGAAGCTCACGCGAACCTCAGCATCTAGAGTTTTTATTGGAGCTCAATTGCTACTGTCCTCATGACTGACCTCTAGTCCCTAGGCCCTCCTGGAGATCAGGCAAATATCTTTCATTATTAGTTCCTCTGAGGTTGGAACGTATACCTCATGGCCCAAAGCCCCCATCATAAATCACATTGTTACTCCATCCAGTGGCCAATAAACATACTTCTGTGAGGCAGGACATTCCAGAGGCCGAGAGATCACCTCCCCACAGGTGGGGGCAAAGGCCAGACCTGAGTTTGGGTGAGGTTAAATTCTTCATGGTCAGGCGCGGTGGCTCATACCTGTAATCCCAGCACTTTGGGAGGCCGAGGTGGGCAGACCGCGAAGTCAAGAGATCGAGACCATCCTGGCCAACATGGTGAAACCCTGTCTCTACTAAAAATACAAAAATTAGCTGGGCATGGTGGCATGCGCCTGTAGTCCCAGCTTCTTGGAAGGCTGAGGCAGGAGAATCGCTTGAACCCAGGAGGCAGAGGTTGCAGTGAGCCGAGATCACGCCACTGCACTACAGCATGGTGACAGAGTGAGACTCCGTCTCAAAAAAGAAAAAAAATTCTTCACTACACACTAATGACCCACTACACAACCCAAGAACTAGATCCCAAGTTTTCATATTAGGATTTTTTGTGTGTTGTTTCTGCCCTTTTTTAGCCATGTAATCTTAGGCAAGTGACTTACACTCTGAGCTTCAATGTCCTTGTCTTTGAAATGGGGTGATCATATGCTAGTTGTTATTTATATGTAAAGCATTGCTGTAGCCTGCACAAATTAAGCATCGTGACTTGTCCTGCCTGCTGTGCCTTAGAGAGCCTGGGTCCCGGGAGGTCTTGGGGTCTTTGCAGTTGAGAGCATTGAATTGTGCAGTGTCTCAGTGACTGAAACCACCATAGAAGGTAAGCCAGTGTGTGACACCTGGAGGAACAGCTGGTTAGTTTATGAATTATCTGGAGGCATTGGCTTTGCTTTCATTCAGCCACACCAAGGACAGTGAATAGTTTTAAGACTCTCCCAGAGTACCTCAGTTCCCACGAGACCTTTTTCCTGACTTGATGGAGAGTTTTATGTTCTCTGTTGTAGACTGGGGCTGTCTAATGTCCTGGAAACCCAGCCCCCTGGTGGCTGGCAGGATCCAGCCTAGGCCTCCTGGAGCAGTTGCTGGCGCTTTGCATCGTGTTGTGTGGTGAAGCTCGTGAGTGTGTGTGCGGGTAGACAGCTGGCAGCCTTCCCTGCGGGATGTGGAAGGAGGATTCTGCATTTCCCCACCATGCGTCTTGGGAATTACTCATCCAAAAAGTATTGTGGAAAAGCAGGCAGAGTGAAACACGGAGGCATTGCACTTAACCCTTCCCTGGAAATGCCATCCTTGAGTTTAGCGTCTGAGCTTTCTGTTTATTCTGCTTGTGTGCTGAATTGCCTTCCTTCTTGTTGGTGTGCATAGGGGTCTGCACATTGGGCACTTATAAATATTATCCCACCTATCAAGTGAAGAAAAAAATGAACTCTCAAACACCCATCACTTCCTCTTTTTCTATCACAGATGTGAGGAAAAAACAGATGTTTGAAAGAATTGATAGTTTGAAGGTGTTGTATTGATTACATCATGGCCAGGAGAGATGAGCAACAGATAAGTGTGGGTGATCACTGAGAATTCATGAGGAAATGTTTATTGAATTATAACTACGATGGCGACCATGTACTGAGTGTGTGTTATACTAGGCACTGTGCATGTTAATTCTTCCCCATTTTAAAGGCAGAGATTACAACTTTACACATTGTTGAAATGAAATTTTTGCCTCATTAAACTTGGGCACATGTATAATCGCAAGTAAAATTAAAATTATTATTTTGAGATGGAGTCTCGCTCTGTCGCCCAGGCTGGAGTGCAGTGGTGTGATCTCGGCTCACTGCAACCTCCGCCTCCTGGGTTCAAGCGATTCTCCTGCCTTAGCCTCCCTCGTAGCTGGGACTACAGGCGCCTGCCACCACGCCTGGCTCATTTTTTGTATTTTTAGTAGAGACAGGATTTCACTGTGTTATCCAGGATGGTCTCAATCTCCTGACCTCGCAATCCGCCCGCCTCAGCCTCCTAAAGTGCTGGGTTTGCAGGCATGAGCCACCACGCCCGGCCAAAATTATATTTTTAAAAATGGATAACATAGGTGGTTTGGGGTAAAGCCAAGGTTTGAACCTGTTCTCTACCTTACGGCGTAGCCCACTCTAACTACAATTCTGTGTGTCCTTAGTAGTAATAGCAGTGGAATATTATTGATCTATTATCATCATTGTTAGTAATAATAATATTAATATTTATCTTGATATTCTAAATAGGACAGTGGATGTGAATGCTTCATGCATCGGGTAGTGAGATCTATCACAGTGGTGGTAAGAAACATTCAAGTGAGAGTCAAAGTGACAGGTTCTCATCCTCCTGACCCCAGTTCTTACTGTGTTACCTTGGCCAATACTTTTCATCTTCTTGCATCAGTCCTTGAAATAAGATAATGAAGAGGGCTCACTTCCTCTCACTTTGAAACAAGTTAGTCTGGACTGGGATGAGAACCACTAACTCCAGGCAGCGTGGAAAGCATCTGTGTAACTGTTCCCAGCCTTCAACCAGAGTGGTGGATAAACAGAAACGTGGGTGCCCCCGGGTAGCTAACCTGGAATGCACTACGCTTTAAAGCAAAAAAGTATTTGCTTCTGTATTGAATCAGGAAAGGTCTTGACAGAAAGGCATTTCCAGCTTTTCTTAAAAACTCCAACTCAACCTCTGTCAGACAATTCATTTGGGACCAGCTTGGATCCAGATGGTTATTTTTCCATCTTGAGCCTTTCCAGGAATTCCGGCATGGGCAGGCCGCCAGAGACACTGGCTACACAGCCACTGCAGCGCGTTTTCCATGTGAGCCGGCTTCTAGGGATGGCCCAGCCAAGCTGTGGCCCCGCCCCTCCTCCTTCCTCATCCAGGCTGATCCTCCAGCTCTCACGGACATGTGCCATGAGCCACGCAGGGGGACCCCAGCCACATGGCCGATGTCCTGATGTTTCCAGGGGTGGCAGAGCTCACTAACTGCACCCCCAGAACTGTCATCTGCTCACTACGAATAGCAATGGCAGAAGCCAGGAATCTAAGAATTGATGAAGCCTGGCCCTCCATTATGTGGACAGGTAGTAGCAAATCACTCAGCCCCACTTAGGGATAAGGGAGACAGCAACTTAACCACGTGCCAAGCAGACAAGTTCAGCAGAATGGCAGCCAGTGCAGCTGTGTGTCTTGAGGAATTCTTTCCAGCCTCCCCTTCAAGGCCCTTAATCAAAGAACAACTCCCCACTGGACGCAGAGCTACCCAAGCCAGCGACCACCCGAATGAGACTATTATTTTGGGTGGATTTAAATTTTTTAATCATTGCTTCAAGTATAGTCGTATCCATTGCCCAAAAAGTCTATAGATGCATGGGGTCAAAAAACACTACTATTCGTGGTGCTGATAATATAAGTAGTGGGGCTGCTTTTCTCCTGCCTTTGCTTGACCCACTGCAGTCCCAGCTGGCAGTGGTAGTGGCAGATTCCCCTGACCCAACCACCCCCAGGAAGGTCTTGCCTCAAAGAAAAGGAAAATGTGGTGTGTGCTGCTGGCTGCCACGGACTCAGGGGAGCCTGTGCCAGGTTGCAGGCTTGAACTTGCTTCTTGTGACACTAGAGGGAGAGAGCTTGTTTCAAAAGCATGTTAGTGCTCTCAGTTCCTCACGTCCGACCTGTGCCAGAGGCTCCTTCTGCAGTCTCACCACTCCTATGGCCTGGATCACAATTGGGTGGGTGGTCTTGAACTTGGCTGCTGAGCCTGAGGTCCCCTGCTTGCTTGCCTGGGAAATACAAACATCCTGACCTCTCTTCCTTGGTCACTGATCAGTCTCTTCCTTACTGAACGTCTCACCAGCTGCAGTTCTTGATTAGTCAACATGGTGCAGAGGTCCCCTAGACATCTTTTCCCCTACTTATCCCTGTGCATTCTGTCCCTTTTCTACATGAAAAATAAATAGGCATATTTGCTATGAGGCTGCCATCGCCATAGCCAGGAGGTGAGTGTAACCCGCATCATGGTTGGGTAGACTAAGAAAGTGATTTCCAGTGCTAGTTCTACCTCTGACTGTATGGCCTTGGGAAAACCTCAGTGTCCTTATCTGGAAAATGGAGATAATAATACAAACCTCACAAATTTGTTATGAAGAGTAAATGAGATATTTAAGTAAGGTTCTTGGCATGTATAATAAGTAATCAATAAATGGAAGATATTTGGATTGGTTTCTTAGGGCTGCCATAATAAATTACCAAAACATATCGTGGCTTAAAACAACAGAAAAGTATTCTCTAACACTCCTGGAGGCTTGAAGTCTAAAATTAAGGTGCTGGTGGAGCCATGTTCCCTTCATAGGCTCTAGGGGATAATCTTTCCTTGCTTCTTGCTGCTTCTAGTAGCTTCGGGTGATCCTTGGCTTGGGACTGCGTCATTCCAGTCTCTCTGCCTCTGCCTCCACAGGGCCTTTGCCTCTGTACATCTCACATCTTTCTCTGCCTTTCTCTTATAAGGACATTTGTCTTTGAATTGAGGGCCCACCTGGATCATCCAGCATGATCTCATTTCCAAATCCATAATTACATCTGCAAAGACCCTTTTTCCAAATAAAGCCATTCCCAGGTTCTGAGTGGGCATAACTTTTAGGGATCTACCATTCAACCCACTGTCCTTCCTTATTCATGATAAAAATTAAGATACATAAAATTATTTATTTTTTATGTCCTTAGGCCCTCGTGTGGACTCCTTCTAGCTTGGATTACGAGCTTTCATTTCTTGCTTTTTCTCTTCTCACTCACTACACTTCCGTGAAGAGCAAGATCCCATGTCCCAGGGGTGCAGAGCCGAGAAGGGAAACCCGAGCGCGTTGGGGCGAGGCTCTCAGACAGCATCTTCTACAAAGTTGTGCCAGGTCCCAGCTCGCCTCTCTGGTGGTTTCTGGCCTGGATGTCTCTAGACAGGGCCTTCAGTCCCCTTCAGGAGCCTCCTCATTTTGGGCCAAGAGGCCTGCCCCATGAAGCTCCACGCTTAGATAGACATGGAAGAGAAGGTCAATAGTCAGTTTCCACTGAGGACACAGCAAGAAGAAATTGTGACAGTAGACTGGGATGACAAGCCAGCCACCTTGACACAGAGTGGAATCACAGTCTCAGAATGTTCCTAATGGCAAAAAAATGTAGAGTAAGTAGTTCGAACACCCAACCAGGGCAGGGACCCCTACCCCATATCCCTGAGTTTCTATCCTGACCCTTGGGGTGACCCAGAGATCCCTGACTCATGAGGCAGCCCAGTCCATTTTTAACCATTCTCATTGCTTCCTAATGCTGCAGCTTTTTCTGTTCTTCCCCAGGGCACTCATTCCCAGTTGTCTCAGCTGTTACTCATCTGCTTGCCTCCAGACCTCTTGCGCAACTGATCACTCCCCCTAGACATGCCCCATCCTTCCCACGTGCCTTTGCAGCAGGATTTCAACTGTGGCTTTACCCGTGCCATCTATGGTTGCAGTATTTATTCCCTTATTCTGAACATTGTTTTCTTTCTCTTTTCTTGAGACAGGGTCTTGCTTTATCACCTAGGCTGGAGTGCAGTGGAGCAATCATGGCTCACTGCAGCCTCAACCTCCTGGGCTCAAGCAATCCTCCTGCCTTAGCCTCCTGGGTAGCTAGGACCACAGATGCAAACCACCATGCCTAGCTAATTTTTTTTATTTTTTGTAGAGACAGGATCTCGATATGTTGTCCAGGCTGGCCTTGAGCTCCTGGGCTCCCAAAGTGCTGGGATTACAGGTGTGAGCCACTGAACCCAGCCTGAACATTATATTTTTTTTAATGAAGGTTATAATTACTATACTTTTTAAGAACCCTACCAAATGGTTGTTCATATTGAGTGTATAGTCAAACAAAAACTTTCTGGGCTCTTTCATTGAAACCATTATTAAACCAGATCTCTTCAACCCTGCTAGTAGGCTAATTGAGCTGTTGAAACCAAGGGCAGGCATTTACATTTATTCTCATTGATCTTAATTTTCCTGGTTTGGTACCATCACTTCCGGCTTCTTAAGATATATTTGAATCTTATTCGCAACATATATCCCTTCTAGCCTTCTGTTACTTCGAAATATGATAACCAAAACACTGTATTAGTATTGAATAGAACAGAACTAAAAATAGAGTTCTGGCATACCATTTGCTTCACACTGACATTGAACAATTGAGGTCCCCGTCATACATACTAGAAACGGAATGAGTGTTTGATGAATGAATGTGTGATCCACTTTGGGGGCATGCCTGTTCAGTCAACCATAAAGGCATCTAATTATAGCTATCATCCAATCCACCTTTCTCCATTCTAGATACTCCAAGCATGTCGGGTTTGGACCTGTTTTTAATGCTTGGCCAAAATGAAGTGCTTTCTGCCAGTGCACCACACAGGCCTTCCAGTTTAGTGATGTAATAAAGCTGGAAGGAGATTGGTGAGTCAGCACTTTGAGAATCCTTGACATGCCCAAGTAACCTCTGTCCTCACACCCAGGTATTCTGCCCTCTTCAGTGTTTGCATACGTAGTTTTTCCAGTCCTGGCACAAGCTCATCAGCCTGCTCTTCCTCTTCTTTAAAGCTGAAACCGTGCCCTGTTTGTCCATAGATATACAGGCCAGGCAGCCATGGGTTCATTCAAACTGAGAAGCACAGGATTGGGGGTGTAGGAAAAGCAACCCATTTTCTTGCCCTAGGTTTAAGATGTATTTTTAGGAGTTTATATATCAAATTCTAAGAGCATCTTCCATTCTGAGCAGTTGGCTGCTATTTACTGGACTTGCAGTCAGTGGGCATATATTCCCCACATCCCTAGCACAGAAGCATCTCATTTTCCTATCACTTCCCAAGCAGTCTGAATCCATGGTAATAGCAAAAAATTTCTCGAAATGAAATTATAGCAAAGAAAGAAGTGTGGAGCTTCCTTTGTTAAATTTCATTTTTCTTCCTGGGAATGATTGAGTTGTGTATAAAATTTATGATAATAGCCTTTTTAAAGTATATTTCTCTGCAGTTGTGTAAAGAACCAGAAGAAAAGCAGCATTTGTTATTTGCAGCCGTATTAGGTTTAGATGACCCCAGAGGAAGCAGTGGAGCATCACCTAAATATTAGATGTTTATCTCCGAGGCTCCATCAACTCTGTGTTTACGTACAACACCTAGTTTGGTTTCCCAGTGCCTGCTCCATTAGGAAGAGGCTAGAGATGTTTAATTTGCTTAAGAGTTTAGCAGTAGAAAATTTAATCGGATAGCTGCTAGGGTTTCTCAAACCTTACTGTGCATAGAATCATCTGGATATCTTGTTAAAATGCAGGACTGGGTGGGGCCTGAGAGTCTGCATTTCCAGCAAACTTGCAGAGGATGCTGATGTCACGGGTCGGAGGACCACACTTCGACTAGCAAAGCCTTATACCACTGGGCTAAATTTAGAAATTATGATAGAGAGATAGTTAATGTAGCTCTAAAGCGGCTTAAGATGAATGTATTCAGAACAGTGATTATCAGGCAAACCATGGGTAGCAAACTCTAAATACATTTGTCTTGATTCATCTATTAACTCTCCCTCCAATTTCCCTTTTCCAATAGGAATGTTTAAACAGTGCGATCTGCATATGTGGCTCTCTGGTAATTTGGCATTGATATAATTGTGCATGGCCCCATGTTTGGAAGAAATCTTTTTGTTGTGGCAGGTGCTTCCAGAGATAAACTCCTCGGGGGTCCCCTGGGAGGGCAATTCAGGACACAGAGGCCAGTTGTCTGCAACTAGAGACTCTAAGAGCAGAAATCCCACTCTCCTTTTTTCTTTTTTCTTCTTTCGTTTCTTTTTCTCTCTTCCTTATTTTCCAAATCTACTTTTCCACCTTCATAAGTTACTTCTTTGTTGTTTAGTCCCATGATCACCCGATAGACCAGGAATGTGGTGCCATCCTGGGGCGCCCTCTGGTGGTTCATTGAAAATACAGCAAGACCCAATCTCTACCCGTGGGTTTCCCCTTATCAGTACTGAAAGCTTACGGGGCCCAGAGAAGGGACACATACCTCAGCGTTAGAGAGCCCTGTCTGCTCCGTGCTGCACTGGTAAATAGCCCTAAATGTAGGAGGAGGATGGGTGGAAACTTTTATCGGTTTGGCCCCAGCTCGCTGCAACTGCTGTCTTAATCATTGTGTCCTTGATTTCTCATTGGCAATCTCTGGAAAAGATGCTGTTTATCAATGGATAAGTTTTCAGAAGAATAAATTTGGATTTGTGTGTTAAGGCCAATATGTCTTAGCAATCATTTCGCAGAAGACCAGTCCAGTGAGTCTTCAGGGCTGACTAAGCCGATGTCTCTCAAATAAACAGTATAATTAAACCTGAGCACTACTGAGAACCAAGTCAGCATTCTTTTTCAAATTTACGAAAGCTGGCTTCCTAAAGAAGTACCTTCAGAGGAGTTTTCTAGTTTTGTGTATTGTGCATTCAATTGTACAGGCAATGTTACATTTGCATTGCTAATAGACCCTTCCTGAATGTGTTTGACATTTTACTTGGCTTTGAAAGGACTTTTATGCCGCTGCTTTTTCTTCCCTAGTGCTGCCTTGGGCTAATTAACCTATTCCCTTACTGGCTGGGCCTACTATATGCAAATGTTCTCATTTTGCATTCTGACACATCACTCTTGCATAAATATCCCTCATGAAACCCTGTGGGGTTTTATTGGATCAGTGCTGCAGGAGGGCCAGCAGGGGGCGCATGGACTGGTTCTCTCTGAGTAGGTCTCACGCATGAGTTTTCCTTGCTCGTTGGTATGGAAATGTGGGAGCGTTTGGCATTCCCTTTCTTAAGAGTGAGTCTTGAAATTTAAAGATAAAAGTTCATTATTAGAACTTCTTTTTACAAGGGAAGGCTGTACAGAACACAGTTATTTGTCACTTACAAAAACCCTAGGTGGGCAGGGCGCAGTGGCTCACGCCTGTAATCCCAGCACTTTGGGAGGTAGAGGCTGGTGGATCATTTGAGGTCAGGAGTTCGAGACCAGCCTGGCCAACATGGTGAAACTCCGCCTCTACTAAAAATACAAAAATTAGCCAGGCATGGCGGCAGCCGCCTATAATCCCAGCTACTCAGGAGGCTGAGGCAGGAGAATCGCTTGAACCCGGGAGGCGGAGGTTGCAGTGAGCCGAGATTGGCACATTGCCCTCCAGCCTGGGCGACAGAGTGAGACTCCATCTCAAAAAAAAAACACCTGGGTTGCGAGAGTAAATAAGTGACATTACTCCTTCAACACTTCATTTCTTCAGCATAAGTGTTTTAGGGTTTTTTTAACCTTATTTTTCATTTCCGTCCCAGTCTTTAAGCGCCTCTCTTGTCATATGAGAAATTCTATTCTTACTGAAATGTCCTTTGATATCGAGACACCAAATTTCTAAACCTGCACCTTCCTAGATATCTGATCAAAATCATTAAGGATTGAGAACTTTCTGTTGTATCATTTGTCATTTCATTATGATGTTCATTGATGATGTTGGAGCAAAACCAATAAGGGCCATTAAATCATTGCCCCTTCCAAGCTGGCTGCAGTGGCTCATGCCTGTAATCCCAGCACCGGGAGGCCAAGTGGGTGGATCACTGAGGCCTGTTCAAGACCAGCCTGGCCAACATGGCAAAACCCCACCTCTACAAAAAGTACAAAAATTAGCCGGGTGTGGTGGCGTGCACCTGTAGTCCCAGCTACCTGGGAGGCTGAGGTGGGAGGATCACTTGAGCCCAGGAGGCACAGGTTGCAGCAAGCCGAGATCACGCCACTGCACTTCAGTCTGAGCAACGAAGCAAGACCTTTTCAAAAAAAAAAAAAAAAAAAGGAAGGAAGGAAGGAAAAAAATCATTGCCCCCTCTAAAAAATAGTTACAAAGTAGGGGGCAGAGTAGAGAAAGGGGGTTATGTTTCAGTAGGGATTTCAGTGTTGCTCCAACATGGACAAGGATTGAATGCTGAAGGCCGCTACTTTATTGTGTTTGTTTTAAAATCGGATCATTGGCTACACACAGTGGCTCATGCCTGGAATCCTAGCACTTTGGGAGGCCAAGGAAGGAGGATTTCTTGAGGCCAGGATTTCAAGACCAGCCTGGTTAACATAGCAAGACCCCATCTCTCCAAAGAAAGAAAGAAAGAAAGAAAGAAAATCAGATCATTGAAAAGAGGGTCTGGATGTGAGATACCAAAACCCAAGGGTGTGGAATTCCCAAAGCCCAATCCCACAGCTCTCAGAATCACAGCATGTTGCACTGTGCATACCTACAGCTGCTACCTGTGGAAGCAATCACATCCGCTGCTTGCTAGCCTGGGTCATGTCAGTTCCACTGATATTTGGCCTCTTGTCTGTTGGGCATTGGTTTGCCCACACAGCAGCAGTAACTCAGACTTCAGTGGTTAGTAAGAGACTGAGATACTTGACCATAAGAACTGGCTCCAGGGTCACCATTTGTATGTCCAGGTTTGAACACACTGATCTGATTTGTCTGAAAGAGCTGTCGTCTCTAGTGTTAATGGCGAGTTGTTACTTTCCAATGAGAAAGGGGACGGTGTGAAGGGGAACTTCAATGACAACTTGAAAAGGAAGAGAGAGATGGACAAACCAAGCATGTAACCCACTGAGAAAACATTCAGTGCACTAGCCCTATTTTTGTATGGTATTTGGGTTTTTTAACCATAATCAAATTCGGTTTTTAACAGTCTCACTCCGTCATCATATGAGTGGCTGTACTGGGAATTCTTTTGAAACTTGCAGAGAACAGGATTATTTCTGGCGGCCTCTGCTGAGTTGGCGTGTGTGTGTGTGTTTGTGTGTGTGTGTATTAGGGAGAGGAAATCGTAGGTCCAGTGTGGACCCAGAGCTAAGGGGAATCTTGGAGAGTAGTGGCTCTGGCAGATGAGGATTCAGAAATCGAGTGCAAGGACTGTTCTGGACTTTCACTGCTAACCTGCTTTTTCTCAGTGCCTGGCTCTGAGGGCAGGGTCCAGCTGGTGTCATGCTCTCCAAGGGCTTCATTTTATGTTCCAGCCAGGCAAAGGAGAGGTGAGAAATGGAACCAACATTTCTGAAAAGGAAATTTAAGAACTGCATCATCTGCCCTTGAAGAAGAAAAGGAGAAAAAAAAACAGGAGAGAGGGTATTGAGAACATCTTAGGGGAGTTGTTAACTCCATTAAAAAATATATGTGTTACAGTGTTCACTTGCCCAGTGTCTTCATAATCTTCCTTTATAATGTGCAGCTGCCACGGCTAGTGTTTTTGTTTTTGTTGTTGTTGTTTTGTTTCGTTTTTGGAGACAGAGTGTCGCTCTGTTGCCCAGGCTGGAGTACAATGGTGCAATCTCGGCTCACTGCAACCTCTGCCTCCTGGGTTCAAGCAATTCTCCTGCCTCAGCCTCTCAAGTAGCTGGGACTACAGCCGTGTGCCAGCTAATGTTACACCAGGCTAAATTTGTTTTTTATTTTTTATTTTTGGTAGAGACGGGGTTTCACCATGTTAGCCAGGATGGTCTTAATCTCCTGACCTCGTGATCTGCCTGCCTCGGCCTCCCAAAGTGTTGGCTAGTGTTTTCTCTGCTTCAGTGCTTGGGGTATGATTGGGTTATGGGAGTTCACACCGAGTCCAGGGCCTAGTCTTAATCTTGCCAAAGATGTTCTTTCCCCGGTGCTCATGTTCTGATGTCCTTTCCCTCCTTCCCTTTCTCCTCCCTTTCCTTTTCCCTTTGTCACTGCCCTCTTCCCTTTCCCAGCATCCAGAGCTGCTGTTGGCGGATTGTACCCACGGGGAGATGATTCCTCATGAAGAGCCTGGATCCCCTACAGAAATCAAATGTGACTTTCCGTTTATCAGACTAAAATCAGAGCCATCCAGACAGTGAAACAGTCACCGTGGAGGGGGGACGGCGAAAAATGAAATCCAACCAAGAGCGGAGCAACGAATGCCTGCCTCCCAAGAAGCGCGAGATCCCCGCCACCAGCCGGTCCTCCGAGGAGAAGGCCCCTACCCTGCCCAGCGACAACCACCGGGTGGAGGGCACAGCATGGCTCCCGGGCAACCCTGGTGGCCGGGGCCACGGGGGCGGGAGGCATGGGCCGGCAGGGACCTCGGTGGAGCTTGGTTTACAACAGGGAATAGGTTTACACAAAGCATTGTCCACAGGGCTGGACTACTCCCCGCCCAGCGCTCCCAGGTCTGTCCCCGTGGCCACCACGCTGCCTGCCGCGTACGCCACCCCGCAGCCAGGGACCCCGGTGTCCCCCGTGCAGTACGCTCACCTGCCGCACACCTTCCAGTTCATTGGGTCCTCCCAATACAGTGGAACCTATGCCAGCTTCATCCCATCACAGCTGATCCCCCCAACCGCCAACCCCGTCACCAGTGCAGTGGCCTCGGCCGCAGGGGCCACCACTCCATCCCAGCGCTCCCAGCTGGAGGCCTATTCCACTCTGCTGGCCAACATGGGCAGTCTGAGCCAGACGCCGGGACACAAGGCTGAGCAGCAGCAGCAGCAGCAGCAGCAGCAGCAGCAGCAGCATCAGCATCAGCAGCAGCAGCAGCAGCAGCAGCAGCAGCAGCAGCAGCAGCACCTCAGCAGGGCTCCGGGGCTCATCACCCCGGGGTCCCCCCCACCAGCCCAGCAGAACCAGTACGTCCACATTTCCAGTTCTCCGCAGAACACCGGCCGCACCGCCTCTCCTCCGGCCATCCCCGTCCACCTCCACCCCCACCAGACGATGATCCCACACACGCTCACCCTGGGGCCCCCCTCCCAGGTCGTCATGCAATACGCCGACTCCGGCAGCCACTTTGTCCCTCGGGAGGCCACCAAGAAAGCTGAGAGCAGCCGGCTGCAGCAGGCCATCCAGGCCAAGGAGGTCCTGAACGGTGAGATGGAGAAGAGCCGGCGGTACGGGGCCCCGTCCTCAGCCGACCTGGGCCTGGGCAAGGCAGGCGGCAAGTCGGTTCCTCACCCGTACGAGTCCAGGCACGTGGTGGTCCACCCGAGCCCCTCAGACTACAGCAGTCGTGATCCTTCGGGGGTCCGGGCCTCTGTGATGGTCCTGCCCAACAGCAACACGCCCGCAGCTGACCTGGAGGTGCAACAGGCCACTCATCGTGAAGCCTCCCCTTCTACCCTCAACGACAAAAGTGGCCTGCATTTAGGGAAGCCTGGCCACCGGTCCTACGCGCTCTCACCCCACACGGTCATTCAGACCACACACAGTGCTTCAGAGCCACTCCCGGTGGGACTGCCAGCCACGGCCTTCTACGCAGGGACTCAACCCCCTGTCATCGGCTACCTGAGCGGCCAGCAGCAAGCAATCACCTACGCCGGCAGCCTGCCCCAGCACCTGGTGATCCCCGGCACACAGCCCCTGCTCATCCCGGTCGGCAGCACTGACATGGAAGCGTCGGGGGCAGCCCCGGCCATAGTCACGTCATCCCCCCAGTTTGCTGCAGTGCCTCACACGTTCGTCACCACCGCCCTTCCCAAGAGCGAGAACTTCAACCCTGAGGCCCTGGTCACCCAGGCCGCCTACCCAGCCATGGTGCAGGCCCAGATCCACCTGCCTGTGGTGCAGTCCGTGGCCTCCCCGGCGGCGGCTCCCCCTACGCTGCCTCCCTACTTCATGAAAGGCTCCATCATCCAGTTGGCCAACGGGGAGCTAAAGAAGGTGGAAGACTTAAAAACAGAAGATTTCATCCAGAGTGCAGAGATAAGCAACGACCTGAAGATCGACTCCAGCACCGTAGAGAGGATTGAAGACAGCCATAGCCCGGGCGTGGCCGTGATACAGTTCGCCGTCGGGGAGCACCGAGCCCAGGTAACGTTAGCCAGGGTGGCACAGGGATGGGACACCACACCGTGATGCCATCATCATCTCCTGGCAAGACGAATTGCTTCTATGAGGCAGGATTAAGGGTTCTCGGGTACACCTAGACCTTAGACTCGGCCTTTCCCAACTGCGTTCTCTAGAAAAAATAAGCCCCATTTCCCCGTGATCTCTGCTGTGTGTAATGAATTAACCTCCATGCATGGAGAGTGGGGCTAGTTATGGAGTCCTTGAGACAATCCAGAAACTCACCACTCTAGTTATTTTTTGAATTCTGTGATTAAGATGAGGAACCCTGATTAGGAAACGCTGCTGGACTTCAGGTCCTTCTAGTGGTCATTCGGCACTTTTTCTTACCAGGAAAAGACAGAGGATGCCGTTGGAGTGAGGGGATTAGATGCTAAAGCAATCATATCCCATTGCAACATCCATGTTTTAAAATATGTCTTATTAGCTGGGTACAGTGGTATATGCCTTCGGTCCCAGCTACTCCAGAGACTGAGGCAGGAGGATCACTTGAGCCCAGGAGTTCGAGGCTGTAGTGAGCTATGGCTGAACCTGTGACTATCACTGCACTCAAGCCTGGGCAACATAGCAAGGCCCGGTCTCCAACATATATATAATGTCTTATTATTTAGGTATGATAAGGCCAACAGATAGATCAGCAGACAACTCTCTTTGACGAGATAATTTTTATACTCTCTGATCCCAAGAGGAAAGGGCACTCTACACCAAGAGGTGTAGAACACCGTAAAGTGGGGGGCACCTGGGGAAGCCCCAGGTGGGTCAGGAGGTGGAGGGAGTGAGGGGAAATGTGGCAAACAACAGCCTTTATTGTGGTTTCATGGGAGGCAGGGTAAACGGGTTTAGGATTGGTTAGAGTGGATAATTCCAGTGTGCTCTGGGGTGTAGGGGCTGTCCTTAGTTGTCTGGCTGCTGGTGCTGGGGTGATCAATACAGGTGGAAGGGCTGGGCACAGTGGCTCACACCTGTAATCCCAGCACTTTGGGAGGCTGAGGCGGGTGGATCACCAGAGGTCAGGAGTTCGAGACCGGCCTGGCCAACATGGTGAAACCCTGTCTCTACTAAAAATACAAAAATTAGCCGGGCATGGTGGTGTGTGCCTGTAATCCCAGCTACTCCAGAGGCTGAGGTAGGAGAATTGCATGAACCCGGGAGGTGGGGATTGCAGTGAGCCGAGATCAGGCCACTGCACTCCAGCCTTGGACACACAGCAAGACTCTGTCTCAGACAAAAAAAAAAAAACAGATGGAAGGCAGCCCTAAGTGTGATGGACCAATATAGGAGGCTGCTGGGGAGTGGGCTCTGGACTGGTTAGTTTGCATATGAAAGTCAGGCTCCTAGGAATTAGCTCTGGACTGGTTGGTTTGCATATAAAAGTCAGGCCTCTAGGAATTAGCTAATCCTAGGAGAGACTATACCTCTGGGATCCACAAGACACTAAAATATCAAAGCATCAGAAAATAAAAGCGTGGTTAATACAATCTGAGAAGTCAGGGCTGTCCCAGGTGACCTGCTGGGCTTGGGGTAAAGTCAGCTGTAGCCAAGATGAGTCACTGGAAGTATGGTTAACGCTCTTAATTTCCACAGGCTCCTTCAATCTACCCTTTTCCAGGTTCTTAGATCGATTACATGCATTTATTCCACAGCCCATTTCTTTCACTGCCCAAGTTGCTGGGAGTCCAGCAGGTTCAGCCTGCAGCTGAGAGCTTTCCTGGCTATCGAGCGTACTTTCTACAAGTGTTTCCATCTAGGATTTGAAAACATTCAAATGGGACAGAGCCTCCTTCCAGCTTGAGTTGAAAATAGTCATGAAATAGCTGCTATTTGGGACATTCAGATAAAATAAAACAAGAAAAAAAAGATAAACTAATTAATGGTTTGAATTGTTTTGGGCATTTTTTTTTTTCATTTTTGAGACAGTGTTTCTTGTCTCCTAGGCTGGAATGCAGTGGTGCAATCATAGCTCACTGTGGCCTTGACCTCCTAGGCTCCAGCGATCCTCCCACCCCAACCTCCCTAGTAGCTAGGACCACAGGTGCATACCACCATGCCCAGCTAATTTAAAAATAAAAAACATTTTAGTAGAGATGGGGTCTTGCTGTGTTGCCTAGGCTGGTCTCAAACTCCTGGGCTCCAAGCAGTCCTTCCACCTCGGCCTCCCAAAGCCCTGAGATTACAGACACGAGTCCCTATGTCTGGCTTTTTTGAGCATTTCTTAAATGCCCAAGTGAGGAAAGGACCAAATCAGTTTTCCAGAACCACTCGTGAATGACTGGATATGGGGGCTTGCACAAAGCCGGGGCCCTGCATTGCCGAGAGCTTTTAGCCCTGAATACTTTTCTTTGTATTATGAGATGTCACTGTAGGTTTACAGTCTTTGGAAGGGCCCAAGAAAGATTTCCCCAAAGATCTTATTTAAAAAAAAAAGAAAATCAGGATTTTTAAAATAAATGGCATAATAATACAGCTCACTACCCCTCTGTAGTGGCTGTTCACTTCCTGCATGAATTAGGGGTGGGTACTAGGAGAAAGAAAATGAACTACCTTGAGCAAAGTTGACTCTTCACAGACCCCAGGTGACACATGGAAAATAAACATGAGTGAAGAGTCATTGCTTTTCATGGTACTTAGAATCCTTAACACATTTTTGTGAACAGAGGCAGGTGTGAAAAGAGGTTTTGTTTAGAAATGCGACTGGTTCCTTGCCGGCCAGCATCAACTTCAGCTTGAGAATGAAGGCAGCCACTTCAGCTGTGGGCCACACTTCCCAGGCCTGGCAGCCTCTGCAGAAACCAGACTCTTCTATTTTTTTTTTTTTTTTTTTTTTTTTTTTTTGGAGACAGAGTCTTGCTCTGTCACCCAGGCTGGAGTGCAGAGTGCAGTGGGGTGATCTTGGCTCACTGCAACATCTGCCTCTTGGTTCAAGTGATTCTTCTGCCTCAGCCTCCCAAGTAGCCGAGACTACAGGCACACGCCATCACCCCCTGCTAATTTTTGTATTTTTAGTAGAGACAGGGTTTCACCATGTTGGCCAGGCTGGTCTCGAACTCCTGACCTCAGGTGATTCACCCGCCTCAGCCTCCTAAAGCTGGGATTGTAGGCGTGAGCCACTGCGCCCAGCCCCTTACAGCCCTCTTCTGTTCTTGGGGAGGAAGATCTAGGTGTGTTTTTCCCTACTCCAAACTTTGCAAAATTAATGATTAAATGAAAGAGAAATTGGCTTCCCTGTGAAGTCAGAGCCCTGTTCTCATGTTTTTTCCCATAGTGAGATCACTAAATCTCTCTACTGACAGCCAGGGTGCAGACGAGCAGGTAGAAGTGTTGTCAGGGCCTGTTGGCAGGTCTGTGAGGTTGGCCCCCGCGTGGCTATGCTGCATGCCGGGAAGGGCTTCCTCAAAGAAAGGCAAGTGTGCTGAGACCTGCTGAAAAGGCAGCTAGGGCTTCACGCTGTAGAAACAAAAGTGCAAGGCCTGACGCAACCAATGATTTGTCACTTTACCGAGGAGCCTATCAGAAATCGGCTGACATCATCACAGCTAAAATACTCCACCAGCTGTGTTTGCCACAAGTGACAGGTTCAGAGTCAGTGGAGACTCAGACAGAGAGCATGAGAGGGGGAGATGGGAGGGAGAGAGAGAACTCATATCTGGACTTAATTGAGGTTCCAAAGGCTACATCCTTCTCCCCTCTGCAGTGCCTTCCTGAGGGGTTTTCTCCCCTAGCCTGAAGAATCTTCCTGGTCTTCTCAACTGGTTAGGCACTGCTGACACTGCACCCACAGAGAAATTCAGAAATGTGCAAATTGTTGAGCTTAATAAGCAAAATCACAAATTTGATTGGGGAAGTTGTGGAAGAAGAGATGGTTTTCTCCAAAACAGATGGCATTGTGACTCTAGGCAGAAATCCTGCATGAACAGACTCTTGAGGATGCCTGAACTCATAAGACCCCCCCAACATCACACCCCCAGGGAAAGCAGTGTGATATAGTATGGTGGTGACAGACCCAGGGGTGCGGATTTGGGTCTCTGGCAGGACAAGTTACTTCACCTCTCTGAGCTGCAGCACTCTCCTCTCTAAACCAGGCAAATGAGTTTTGTTTTTCTGTGGGTTTTTGTGTTCGTTTGTTTGCTTGTTTTGAGACAGGGTCTTGCCCTGTCACCCAGGCTGAAGTGCAGTGATGGGATCATTGGCTCACTGCAGCCTCAACCTCCTGGACTCAATTGATCCTCCCACCTCAGCCTCCCCAGTAGCTGGGACTATGGGTGTGTACCACTACACCCAGCTAATTTTCTGTGTTTTTTTGTAGAGACAGGGTTTTGCTATCTTGCCCGTGCTGGTCTGGAACTCCTGGGCTCAAGCGATCCACCCACCTCGGTCTCCCAAAATGCTGGGATTATAGGCGTGAGCCACGGCGCCCGGCCACGTATGATTCTTCATAGGAGATAATCTCTTGAGAGGGTTCCGTTTTTTAATGCTTCACTTTTATACTTTCCAGAACAGCACAGCCCTTGTAAAAATTTATTAGCGTCGGTTAACAAAAAACCAAGAAGAGCATTAAGATGAACATGTACTGACCTCATGCTAAGCGGCACACAGACCTCATGGGAACTAAAGCCATGGCATATAAAACTGAGGGGTGTTTAGTTTGGGGATGATTTTTAAGGGGCTGAATTCCTCATTAAGACTGTGGAAAGATGCCCCCAGCATTGTCCCAGCTGACGCTCCAGACGAGGCAATGTAGGAGAAAAATGCTTTTCCGTGTTTGTCACTATCCCTGTGGCATTGCCCTGCCCAGTACAGCTTTTCTCCACTCGAGCAAAGCGTCTATGCATCCCCCAGGCCCCCACCTAGGTGCTGTGGGAGGAAAGGGGAATGCCAGGTGTTGTCCATTGTTACTGCGTGCACCAAAGGAAGCCTCCTTCCTCTTCAGTGGAGGGTGATAGCACGTTCCCCACCCTGGAAGAGAGTTGCTGCTTTGCCATGCCTTGATTCTGGTTGAGAGTCCCAAAGGATGACAGAATCACTTCCCTTGGGCCTCACTGCCAAATATAATCCACTTAATATCCTCCAAGTTTGAGGCCATAAGTCTGTGGCGCATCCAGATGCGACCCCCGAGGCGATAGCATCAACGTGGGAGCCAATGCAACTCAAAAGAAGGATGGGGCTTCGCACCTCCTCCTTGGGTAGGAAGTAGGTTAGCTGCTTGGAAAATGCAGGAACTGGCACTGAAGAGATCTGAGTCTGAACATATCCCTCACCCGTCAGTAGCACTGGGACCTTGTGCAATGTTAGTTTTCCCTTCCCTGCTTCAACTTAGATGGCTCGGGCCCTGAGAAAGTGATTCACAGCTGAAAAATAAATCAAAGGCCTCGTGTTCTAAAAAGAGTTTATGGAAGGAGAGGCAGCTGATGAAAGTCTAGAAAGAAGGCTGAACTTTTCCAATGAGCACAATAAGCCATTTTTACCCTGCCTGTAATCCTCGGGGTGGAATCCCGCGAGTGGCCGAGGCGAGCACCCTTCCCGCCGTTCCTGTTTCTAAGGCTAAATGATGTCATGCCAGCCTGCGTGAGCATATCAATCTGTATTTCTGAGTATGAACTGGATTTGAGGGGTGCATTGGTGCTCCAGCCCTCCAGATCAGTAAGACAACCAATGCAGAAACAAGGGCTCCCAGGCTCCTCTTCTGCAAGAGGCTGTTAGTGACGTGCCCGCTGGGACAGCCCTGCCCAGGATGGCCCCAGCTGGGGAGCCTTTGGCTTCCATCTGGCGGCGTTCTATATTATCCCATCCTTCTGTCTCACCCTTCCTAGGTTCAGCTTCTCTGAAGAGTACACAGCATTTGCTCAGTGGAGTTGTAAAATGTATTGGTAAAGTGCTCTGGGTTGACACGTTCCTTTGCTTCTTTCCTAAATGCCAGGCTCTGTGTTATTAGGGCCGTCTGTCGCTTCCCAGCGCCTCCCGAGGTGACTGCTTCCCTGACTCGGTGGCTGCTTAATATTCAGTGCCATTTCCTCCTCCCGACTGTCCTGGCGTGGGTGTGAGTGTGCCTGTGTGTGTGCTCGTACAGCAGTTGTTATCATGATGTACTTACTGGCTGTCTACCGATGGCTTTCCTTTCATTCTACTATTTTTTGGTTGACTTCTGTGAGCTGTGAGTCATCGGTGGTAACATTATGCATTGAATGGATTAGCTGGTACCTAAAAATAGCCGAGGCCCTCATGCAGGCGGCACATGAGCCTGTAGAGTCAGTCCCTTTGCAGCCAAGGCAGACCCACTTGCCAACATTGAACATGCCGAGCTTGGTGGCGATGAATCCTAATGTATCAAAAAATAGATAGTTGGTGACTGCCCTGTGTGCAGAGCCCAGCCCTGGATTTGTGCCGCAGTTGTTGGTAATACACACTTCCTGTCTGTTCTGGTGCTGGAAAGGCTCCAACAGAGAAACTATGTCAAACCACATTTTTGTTTGTGGGTCTTTGTACCTCTCTAAAAAAAAAAAAAAAGGAGAAAAATGCTCTCCTTTAAACTGTATGTGCTATATGTGCCCCCAACTGGGTCATCTTATATGTTTTGATTCTCTCAGACTGTTGTTGTTTATAGCATTTAGAAAAAAATTAAAGACTATTGTTTAAAGCAGTTTTAGGTGTACAGCAAGTAGAGAGAGGTCTCACACACCTAACAGTTTTCCCTGTTATTAAAATCTTGCATTGGTGTGATAGATTGGTTACAACTGATGAGCCAGTACCGATACCTTATTTTTAACTAAAGTCCATAGTTTATACTACAGTTCACTCTGTGTTGTACATGCTGTTTTTGATGAATTTATGATGTCATGTATCCAGCATTACATTATTATACAGAACAGCTGTACCACCCTAAAAATCCCTTATGCATCAACTATTTGTCCCCCACACCCCACCTGAAACTCCTGGCACCCACTGATCATTTTACTCTCTCCATAGTTTTGCCTGTTCCAGAATGCCATGCAGTTGGAATCATCCGGTATGTCGCCTTTTCACATTGGCGTCTCTCACTTAGCGATATGCATTTCAGGTTCTTCCATGTCTTCTTGTTGCTCTGATAGCTCATTTCTTTTTAGCACTGAATATTATGTTGTTCTTTAAGGCACATTTTTTTTTTTTGAGATAGGGTCTTGCTCTGTTGCCCAGGCTGGAGTGCAGTGACACCATAATAGCTCACTGCAGCTTTGACCTCCTAGGCTCAAGCAATCCTCCCACTTCAGCCTCCCTAGGAACAGGGACCACAAGTACACACCACCACGCCCAGCTAATTTTTCTATTTTTTTGTAGAGACGGGGTCTTGCCATGTTGCCCAGGCTGCTCTTGAACTCCTGAGCTCATGTGATCCTCCCGCCTCAGGCCCCCAAAGTGCTGGGATTACAGGGATGAGCCACCCTTCCCTGCCTAAGGCACACATTTTAAGGCCCCAGAAAAGGAAGGCAAGTGAGCTAGAACCTGTGTGCCTAAGGGCTTCCGTGTCACAGCTGCTGTGGTCACTCACTGGGCAGTGTCCTTCCTGGCCATCCCTGAGCCTCCCCACAGGGCCTTCCCACAAGGGAGCTCTGTGAGCCACGCTACCATGTGTAAGAAAAACCCAGCTTTTAATGTGGGATTTGTGTTAGGAGGCGTCCCGGTGCTAGGGTGTGGGTTTACTGAACAACCCTGAAACACTTCCACCAAGGACTGAGTCAGGCTTTGCGTGAACATGATTCAGTGTTTTAAATAGAACACTCACAGAGATTCTTACACTCAGCCAAAGCGTTTTGACTGTTTTTATTAATGATTTTTAAACATTGCAGTAAATGGGTCTCTCGCTTACCCCCTTCATCTTTGAGACGGGGTTTTCTGATTTTTTTCATGCTGAGAACGTAACCATGCAGACTTAGCCTTCCAGGAAAGCAGACCGGCCTTTCTCTACAGGTAAAACAAGACTGAGAATTTCACTTGCAGACAAAGTTAAGAATGCCCAATTTAATAATTTCGCCAAAAAACAAGACATACTTACTGAAACCTAGCTTATGAGAGAATTCATTGCTCCCAGCAACAGGCGAAATTTGTATGTCTGGGATAGTGTCATGAAAAAATGTTTTGTAAAACAGATGCCCTTCGCAATTTGTGAAAACAGGGACTCTTGTGAAGGAAATGGGAGACATATTTAAACAACAGACGTTTTGTTTTCTTTCTATCTTGTTTTTGGTGATATGTACATATGTGTGTATATAGACATAGCACCAATCTAAGATTGAAATATACAATCAAACAGCATAAATATGCGTGTATGTGCATAGTGTTTAGATATAGTAGTTATTGACTAAGTGGTGAAAGGAATTTTATTGAATTTTCATACAGAGGAGCTAAAATTTTTCTTAAAAGCCAGTCATTAGTCAGATTAGGAAGGTGACATTTAAAAAATAATTATGAGCCCAGAAGTGAGTCGGTGTTGTCTCCCTGTCTAGGTTCGTCCATCCAAAATGGGAGTTGGAGGTGACAGTTCTAGAGGAGTCGATTTAGGGGGATGGATGGAGGAAGGGGTAGGCAGATCTCTTATAACCACACTGATGAGCACATGGGCTTGCTGGCAGCAGTGGGAGGAGGGAGGGAAAGAGTGGAGGAGGGTGGGAGGCGGTCCACCCCCAAAAGCAAGAGGTGCTGGCGACAGGGCATCCAGAGATGAAAGACAGAGGGCCCTCAAGCTTACAAAAGTATAAAGGCCATCCCTGGGCGCGGTGGCTCACACCTGTAATCCCAGCACTTTGGGAGGCCGAGGTGGGTGGATCATCTGAGGTCAAGAGTTCAAGACCAGCCTGACTAACATGGTGAAAACCCGTCTCTACTAAATACAAAAAAATTAGCCTGGTGTGGTGGCAGGCGCCTATAATCCCAGCTACTTGGGAGGCTGAGGCAGGAGAATTGCTTGAACCTGGGAGGCAGAGGTTACCGTGAATCAAGATGGCACCACTACACTCTAGCCTTGGCGACAGAGTGAGACTCTGTCTCAAAAAAAAAGAAAGAAAGAAAGAAAGAAAAGTTATAAAGGCTATTCTACTTACTGCTTAGGGTGTTTGAAACAGGATATATTTACTGGATGAAAAAATGGGCTATATTGAGCTGTCTGGCGTTATGTAACGTGCTTTGGTTATCTGTGGTACTGCTCCCATGAGTTTATTTTCATTGGGATTTAATCAGAAACCATTCTGGAAAATGTGTGGAACCCCAGCAAGATCATAAAATGACTTAATGATTACTAACACAGCTGCAAGAACGAGAGTGGAGAGAAAATAACTGAAGTGTGATTCAATAAAATCATGACGACCTCAGCATCTGACAAGGTGAGGTGGCTATGGCTCCGCTGAGAAAGCTGCCTGTTAGGCGGTAAAGCCACACCCTGGAGAAAGCACTGCTCCTCTCCCTGGGGGAGGTCACAGCCCACTTTAGTTCTGGCTGGTTAAAAAAAAAAAAAAAAAAAAAAAAAAAGACAGGCAGTCTCTCTATTGCCCCCTGTTGTCCACTTGTACCATTGCAATGTTTTTCCATACAGAAGGCAAACAGAACTATTCTTTCAGTTTTTTTTTTGTTTTGTTTTTGTTTTTTTTAAGACGGAGTCTTGCACTGTCACCTGGGCTGGGGTGCAATGGCGTGATCTTGGCTCACTGCAACCTCCGCCTCCCAGGTTCAAGCAATTCTCCTGCTTCAGCCTTCAGAGTAGCTGAGATTACAGGCACCTGCTCCCACGCCTGGCTAATTTTTTTGTATTTTTAGTAGAGACAGGGTTTCACCATGTTGGTCAGGCTGGTCTTGAACTCCTGACCTCATGATCAGCCCGCCTCTGCCTCCCAAAGTGGTGGGATTACAGGTGTGAGCCACCATGCCCGGCCTCTTCTTTCAGATTTTAACTGAGCACCTATTACTTGCTAGGAAGTCTTTTAGACTCTGGAGATAGAACACTGAGTTTGGGGAAAGAGGCAAAACAGACAAATATACAAGTAAATAAAAAAGAATGCATAAGAAGATAACCAGTCCCTTTTGGCACCAGGGACTGGTTTCATGGAAGAAGATTTTTTGGCAGGATGGGAAGAGGGAGGGGGATGGTTTTGGGATGAAACTGTTCCACCTCAGATCATCAGGCATTAGTTAGATTCTCATAAGGAGTGCACAACCTGGATTCCTTGCATGCGCAGTTTACAATAGGGTTCACGCTCCTATGAGAATCTAATGCTTGCGACTGATCTGACAGGAGGCGGAGCTCAGTCTGGAATGGTTGCTCACCTCCAGCTGTGCAGCCCAGTACCTAACAGGCCATGGACTGCTACTGGTCTGTTGCCTGGGGGTTGGGGATCCCTGGTATAAAGAGGAGAAGGGGCCAGGCTAGGTGGCTCATGCTTGTAATCTCAGCACTTTGGGAGGCTGAGGCAAGAGGGCACTTGAGGCCAGGAGTTTTGAAACCAGCCAGGCCAACATAGCAAGGCTCCATCTCTACATAATGATCATCATTATCTTCACCAACAAAACATTAGCTGGACATGGTGGTGCATGCATGTGGTCCCAACTACTCAGGCGGCTGAGGCAGGAAGATATCTTGAGCCCACGAGGTCAAGGCTGCAGTGAGCCATGATCATGCTACTGTACTCCAGCCTGGGCAACAGAACAAGACCCTATCTCAAAATAAAAAAAGGAAGCTATGGAAACTAGAGGGTTGTTATTTTAAATAGAACTGTCAGGGGAGTTCTCTCTGAAAAGGACAGTGGGTGGCAACAGTACGTGAGGCAAAAAAGATTCCAAATGAATGGAGAGAGTAGCAGGTGCCCAGACGGAAGGCGCAAGAGGGGTTAAAGAACCAGCAAGGAGACCACTGTTGCTACAGTGTAGGGAGTAAGGGGCACATGCAGACCACATCAGGCTTGCATGTGGTGACCGAGCGAGTGAGATGCAGCTTGGCCAGGACAAAGGTGGTGGAGGTAGTAAAAAAATAGTATCATTCTAGGTGTATTTGGAAAAGGAACCCATACAGTTTGCTTATAATTGGGATGTTTGTGATGTAAGAGAAAGAGCGGAAGAAAGTATGATTCCAAGGTGCTTGATTGAACAGCCGGAAGAATGGGATACCATTTATGGAGATGGGGAAGAACATGGGATGGCCACCGGGCAGGGGCACATCGGGAGGTCTGGTGTGTTTTAGGTCACTTTAAGTTTGAGTTGCCCATTCGACATCTGAGTGGACGTCATCGGATAGTGTGGTCACTGGTGTCCAAATGTACCCGTTTTGCGTGTATGTTCTGTCTCCTGGTGGGAGGCAAGAAACTAGGTCTTAACCAATAGATACTCTTCTAAGGTTCCTAACACTTAGCAGGTGCTCGGTGTATACTTGTTGAACTTTTATTAAAACTGGAAAGCCTGAAATGTATCATTAGGAACCCTCAATAATATTTTGAGGCCGGGCACGGTGGCTCACACCTGTAATCCCAGCACTTTAGGAGGCCAAGGCAGGCAGATCACTTGAGGTCAGGAGTTCAAGACCAGCCTGGCCAACATGGTAAAACCCCGTCTCTACTAAACATACAAAAATTAGCCAGGTGTGGTGGCTTATGCCTCCCAGCTACTCGGGAGGCTGAGGCAGGAGAATCGCTTGAACCCAGGAGGTGGAGTTTGCAGTGAGCCGAGATAGTGCCACTACATTCCAGCCTGGGCAACAGAGCAAGACTCCATCTCAAAAAAAAAAATAATAATAATAACAATATTTTGAAGCTATCAGCATCATAGAGAATACCCATATGGGTTTTAAATTCAAGGAATTCACAGACTTATTGTTCCAGTTGAAGATGACATCATCCTACAAAATCACACCGTCTCTGTTTCACATCCAAACCAGTCCCCGCTGGCATTGACAGCATGTTTTGAGATGGAGAAGGCTCCTCTCCAAGGGAATTTCAAGCAACAGATTTGATGATATATATTCTCACTGAGAAACCCCTCAGTGAGATTTCTTCATTAACGGTTAATGATCAGTTAACCTTTAAGAATGTTTATATCCTTATGACAAACCTAATTATAAAATAAAGATAGATTTGCTATGAATGCTTGAGTGTACCTATTTGAGATGTGTGCAACAAGATTTTAACTTTCACCAAAGAAGGGAAAAAAACCTTATTTTACTTCTCATACATTCAGACCCCAAGGGGGAAAAAGTACATTGTCTAGGTAGTTCACACTAATTAGTGAGGAGAAAACTAGCATTGGGCTGGCAAGCTATCCGATCTGTGCCTACAATGATCAGATTATCTGAATAATCTTCCGCTCCCACCTCAGCTTTCATGGACCCAGCTGATATCTGGTCGTGGCATCTTTTCGCAGGGTGACACAGCTCCTTTGGTAGGAAGCAAAGGCAGAATTTAGGCAAAAAGAAACAAAGAGAAGCCTTTGAAGTGATTAAAGAAGAATCTCCCAAGCCTATCTAGGTTAACATAAATTTCATTAACAGGCCAGGTGGGCGCGGTGACTCACTTCTGTAATCCTAGCATTTTGGGAGGCTGTGGCGGGCAGATCGCCTGAGATCAGGAGTTCAAGACTAGCTTGGCCAACATGGTGAATGAAACCCCGTGTCTACTAAAAATATAAAAAATTAGCCAGGGGTGGTGGTGGGCACCTGTAATCCCTGCTACTTGGGAGGCTGAGGCAGGAGAATCGCTCGAATCCAGGAGGCAGAGATTGCAGTGAGCTGAGATGGTGCCACTGCACTCCAACCTGGGTGACAGAGCGAGACTCTGTCTCAAAAAAAAAAAAAAAATTCCATTAACGTCATCTTGTTTTAGTACGCATCTCAAATATTCTCTCTCTCCATCACTTTTCTCTCGTGAATTTTTCGGCAGGCTGTTCTAGCTATGGTTCACACCACAGCATTTAATTCTAAGGCCTGTCTTTGGAGATTTGGAGTTTGGTTTGGTTTGGTTTGGTTTTTAGAGACAGAGTCTTGCTCTGGCACACAGGCTGGAGTGGTGCAGTAGCTCGAGTGACCCTCGCACCTCTGTAACTGAACTTAGGTTTGGCTGCTCACCACTCAAAAGCCAAATACGAGAGATGAGGTTGGTGAGAGGAAAAGCAGGTTTATTGGGAAAGCCAGAGAAATTGAGAAGATGATGAGCTAGCCTTCTAAAGTACCATCTCCAGGCCAGGCATGGTAGCTCACATCTGTAATCCCAGCACTTTGGGATGCCAAGGCAGGCGGATCACCTAAGGTCAGGAGTTTGAGACCAGCCTGACCCACAATGGCCAAACACCATCTCTACTAAAAAATACAAAAATTAGCCAGGTGTGGTGGCACATGCCTGTAGTCCCAGCTACTCAGGAGGCTGAGACAGGAGAATAGCTTGAACCTAGGAAGCAGAGGTTGCAGTGAGCCGAGATTGTACCACTGCACTCCAGCCTGGGCAACAGAGAATCCATCTCAAGAAATAATAATTTTGTAAAAATTAAGTAAAATCTCCAATTTTTTAGGCTGGTTGGAGGGTTTTTATGGGAGGGGGGTATGGGGGGAGACGAAGGGGTTAGTATCGAGGAGACTGAGGACCATAGACATTTGGGCACCAGTGAGGGTTCAAGAAGGTTGAGAACTTCTTTGTCCTTGGTCAGGTCATAATGCTCCTTCAGTCTTTAGTATTTTTAATAGAGGGTTTCACCATATTGGCCAGACTGGTCTCTAACTCCTGACCTCAGGTGATCCGCCCGCCTCGGCCTCCCAAAGTGCTGGGATTACAGGCGTGAGCCACCGTGCCCAGCCACTCCTATCAGTCTTTAACAATATATAGTTAGTTGTTTATATACTTCCCCTTTAATCCCAGAGTTAGTTTCTAAAAGTACATGATTGTTGTTTGTGTATATTATCTCGGTGCCATAAAATTATCCTAGCCTACGTGCAGGAAAGGGTAAAACCCTTTAAACAAAAATGGAGTTAGTTATGTTCGTTCTTTTGCTATTTCACAATTGTACCTCAGCCTCCCAAAGTGCTGGGATTACAAGAGTGGTGTCTTTGGAGTTTTGAGATGCGGAAATAATGAAAGGCTTTCAAAATGTCCAATAACATTATGAAGTCTTTAGAGGGAAACACGTGTATCTGTATCCTGACTTTTGCACTAATCAATTATAGTACCTGTTATAAAGGGCTTGTAGACATTTCTTAATGAGTCTACAGATACTTGGTAACGTGGAAATCCTCAGATAAGTTTACCTATGAGAACACAGTAGATGTTATTTTCAGAAAATTAAATATTGCCTGCCCTGTGAAGTGTGTATAATGTGGCTCACACACCAAGGGCCTCTCCATGGGTAGGTGTCCGGCCATCTGCCAGCAAGGAGACAGGGAGTTATCCGGGAACACGCAGAACCAGAAAAGAGGCTGACATGTTTGGAACTAAGGCTTCTGGTCTTCTGAATGTCACATTACCTCTGCCTGGTGTTGGGCAAGAATAAGCAAACCGCAACTCTGGTAGAGAGTCTTACGAGACAGATGTTAACACCTGAGAGTTTTATTTTTATGACTTGGATTTGCAGCAAAACAATCTCCACTTGATGTGGGATTGGTTTCCTTCTGTTCAGTTTATGTTGTTAATGACTCTAAGAGGTTTGCAAGAGGATCTATGGAGCCAGTTCCAGATTGGTCCTCCTACTTAGAATACAGTGGGTATCCCCATCTGATACAGTCACTTGTAAGTATATTTGTCTATGTATATATGCACATATATGTTTCTGTGTGTGATGTAAATGTAGTTTTGAAACCAAATAGTGTCACACACTTGTACAGGGTAACTAGAATTGTATGAGTGGCTATAAGGCAAACACTGCATCACAATTATCTGTACCATGGAACAAGCCCATGAGCTCATGCCTTTGGATCCTACTTATTTCAGTCAATATTCACCACTGTTGGGGGGTAGCAGGAATGCTTAGTTCATCTCTTTTGGTGGCATTGTAATGTCTTTGCTCACAAGGGTAGAGGTCAGGAGGCACAGAAAAAAGAAAATGGGTTTGGGGGCCAATGACTGGGATAAAATCCTAAACCCATTAGCTAATAGCTATGACATTAGGCAAGTGACTTAATCTCTCTGTGACTATTCGTAAAATTTACAAAATTGGAAGAGCAATACTATTCCATACTAATACTATTATGAACATTAAACAAAATACTTTTTGTAAAGTTTGTACCTGAGAGCTTGACAGAGAGTAGGCACTCAAAAACTTTTAGCTTGCTTCACATTATAAAAATAGCCCAGAACAATGAAACTTTCCCCCAGTAATACACACAGGAGAAGGGGTTCATGCTTACAAGCTGCCATATGAATGTACTCAAGTTGTCTCTTCTAAAAATATGCCTTGTATGGATCCAGTAAAGTCTGTCATTCTAGAAATGTATCAGAACTAGATCAATCAGAGTTAACAAAGGAAACAAAGAAGATGAAGTAGAAAAGCAACAATCTGTGGAAATCTACTACTTTTAAAGTTTTTTTGGTACTTCAATTATGCATGTGTGTTTTTGTGTGTCTGAATGTGTATAAAATCCAATGGAGGCCTGACACGGTGGCTCACGCCTGTAATCCCAGCACTTTGGGAGACTGAGGCGGGTGGATCATGAGGTCAGGATATCGAGACCATCCTGGCCAACATGGTGAAGCCCCCACTCTACTAAAAATACAAAAAGTAGCTGGGCGTGGTGGTGGTGGTGCATACCTGTAGTCCCAGCTACTTGGGAGTCTGAGGCAGGAGACTCGCTTGAACCCGGGAGGCGGAGATTGCAGTGAGCCGAGATCGCGCCACTGCACTCCAGCCTGGGCGACAGAGCAAGACTCCCTCTCACAAAAAGAAAAAAAGAATCCAACAATATTTTAAATATTGTTACATATAGCCAATATTCATTCAGATTCACCATGTATCTACCATTTTCATTCCTCTTCATTCCTCCCTGTACAAACTTCAATCTAGATTTGTTTTTTCTCTACCTAAAGAATACCTTTTAGTATTTTCTATAATGCAGATCTGTTGATGGTGAATTCTTTTAATTACTGTTTGTCTGAACATGTCTCTATTTTGCCTTCATTCTGGAAGGATCTTTTTGCTCCATATAGAATTCGCCATTGACAATTCTTTTTCTTTAGCACTGTAAAGATATTCCATTGTCTCCATTGTCTACTGGCTTCCATTATTTTTGTTGAGATGTAAACTGTGAGTTCCATTGTTGCTTATTTGGAGATAATATGTATTTTGTTCTAGAGGCTTTTTTTTTTTAATGGAGTTTCTCTATTGTCGCCCAGTCTAGAGTGTGATGGAATGATCTTGGCTCACTGCAACGATCTTGGCTCACTGCAACGATCTTGGCTCACTGCAACCTCCGCCTCCCGGGTTCAAGTGATTCTCCTGCCTCAGCCCCCCGAGTAGCTGGGATTACAGGTTCCTGCCACCATGCCCAGCTAATTTTTGCATTTTTAGTAGAGATGGGGTTTCACCATGTTGGCCAGACTGGTCTCAAACTCCTGACCTCAGGTAATCCACCCACCTCGGCCTCCCAAAGTGCTGGGATTACAGGCAGGAGCCACCACACCCAGCCTGTTCTAGAGGCTTTTAACGATATTTTTTCCTGTTTAGTTTACAAGATGTCTTTGATTTATAGCAGTTTAATTCTCATCTGCCTCAGTGAGGATTTCTTTTTGTTTATTTTTCCTGTTTGGGGCTAGGCCTTCTTGAAACTGTCTTATTATCCTTCTTCAGTTTGGGAAAATTCTTAGCCATTACCTCCTCAAGTATTAACTTCTGCCCTATTATCTCCCTCTCTTCCTCCTCCTAGGATTCAAATTATGTGTCTGTTAGCCCCTCTCAATGTATCCTATGTGTCTCTTACCCTCTCCTCCATATTGACCATCTTTTTGTCTCTATGTTCACTCTGTGGAGTCTCTTCTAAAGCTCTAATTAGAGAATCCAGTTCCTGAATTCTTTCTTAATCCATGTCTATTCAACTGGAAAGCTCATTGCATTCTTGATTTCAGTGGTGTATATTTTAATTCTACAATTCTCATAGACCTTTTTTAATTAATTAATTATTATTATTATTATTATTTATTTTTTTTTTTTTTAGAGACAGAGTCTCACTCTGTTGTCCAGGCTGGAGTGCAGTCTTGTGATCATAGCTCACTGCAACCTCTAACTCCTGGGCTCAAGATCCTCCTGCCTCAGCCTCCTGAGTAGTTGGGACTACAGGCACGCATCACCACACTAGGCTATTTTTTTTTAAATTTCTGTAGAAACGGGGTCTCATTTTGTTGCCCAGACTGGTCTGAAACTCCTGGCCTCAAGTGATCCTCCCTGTCTCAGCCTCCCAAAGTACTGAGATTACAGGCATGAGCCACCATGCCTGGCTTCATGGATCTTTTAAAAACAGATTCTAGTTTCCTATCAAAATTCTCAAGCTGTCTTTAATCTTCTTAATTATTGTAAGCATAGTCTTTGTAAAGTCTATATGTATGACTCTATATGAGAAGCCCTGGTGCATCCTTTTTTAAGATCTGATATTTTGCTAGTGCTTATACAAGCTATCTGGTCTCCTCATGACCACCACCCCCCTTTTTTAAATTGAATGCTTTTATTTGCAAAATTGTGAAAGTAATTCAAGACCTTAATCCAGTTTTAGGGACTCAGATGAGTCAATCTGAGCTTCAGACCTTGAAAGGCCTGTTGGCTTGTGGTTCACTGTCTCCTCTAAGGGACAGTGCTTTGGGGTCACAACTCAAAAGAATGGGGCTCACCAGAGAACACCCTCCCTTGGTGTATCCTGAACTCCATTACCTGTTCCCTATGCTCTTAACACTATCAAAAGCCCACTTGGTTTCCCAACTGCTCCACTTTGGAATGTTCAAGTGCCTTCAGGAGAAAACAGGCCCCCAACACCAGCTTCACCTCTCTGGGCCATCATCTTTTCCTGATCCAACCCAGGAAGTGTGTGTGTGTGTGTGTGTGTGTGTGTGTGTGTGTGTGTGTGTGTGACGGAGTTTCACTCTGTCGCCCAGGCTGGAGTGAAGTGGCATGATCTCGGTTCACTGCAGCCTCCGCCTCCCGGGTTCAAGCGATTCTCTTGCCTCAGCCTCCTGAGTAGCTGGGATTATAGGCGCCTGCCACCACACCTGGCTAATTTTTGTATTTTTAGTAGGGACAGGGTTTCACCATGCTGGCCAGGCTGGTCTCAGAGTAAAGTGGCACGATCTTGGCTCACTGCAACCTTCGTCCCCCGGACTCAAACGATTCTCCTGCCTCAGCCTCCTGAGTAGCTGGGATTATAGGGGCCCACCACCACACCTGGCTAAGTTTTGTATTTTTAGTAGAGATGGGGTTTTGCCATGGTAGCCAGGCTGGTCTCAAACTCCTGACCTCAGGTGATCCACGCGCCTTGGCCTCCCAAAGTGCTGGGATTACAGGCATGAGCCACCGCGCCTGGCCTTTTTACTATCTTATTTGCTGTCCAGTACTATAAGAAAAAAAGTTTAAACATTTTGTCCAGAGTTTTTAAATTTATTTGTTTGCTTATATTTTTGTTCAGAGTTTTTAGTTGTCCTCAGAAGGAGGGTTGGTCCAAATTACCTAGTCTACTACATCTAGAAAGGACATTGGAAATTGACTTTTTTTTTTTTTTTTTGAGACGGAGTCTCACTCTGTGGCCCAGGCTGGATCGCCCAGTGGCACGATCTCGGCTCGCTGCAACATCTGCCTCCTGGGTTCAAGTGATTCTAGTGTTTCAGCCTCCCAAGTAGCTGGGATTACAGGTGCCCGCCACCACGCATGGCTAATTTTTTTTTTTTATTTTTAGTGGAGACGGGGTTTCCCCATGTTGGCCAGGCTGGTCTTGAACTCCTGACCTCAAATGATCCACCCACCTTGGTGTCCCAAAGTGCTGGGATTACAGGCATGAGCCACTGTGCCCAGCCACCAAGCATCCTTTTAGGGGCTGGGGACTCAGTGATAAACACACTGTGCCTGCTTCTTGGAACTCACAGTCTCACTCTGATCCATGTTTAGTCCTGTCCTGTATGATAATAGCAGTTGTCCATTGAGCTCATAAAATCTAAGACCGCGCTGGGCTTGTGAGCCACCTGCAGAGCCTAGCTTGGTGCTGAAAGCTAAGTGGGTGCTCTGTCATTACTGGGGTTCGATTGACTGGTTCTAACAGAGACCAGCTATAGAGCTAACACTTGATGGAATATTTTGAATATTGATGACCTTTTCACTGGCTTCTGCCTATGGCAAGTAGAGGTACAACCCAAAGAGAAGAGCCTCATTTATAGTGTGTGGCTGGGGGAGAGGGAGGTTTGCAAACTGAGTCATTTTCCCCCATTCAGCCTGTGTGTGTCTGTGTGAGTTCATACCTGTGTGTGTGCATAAAATCAAACAAGAATAAAATGTTTTCATTTGTTCCCTTCCTTCTTCCTCTCTCTGTCTCTCCCTGTTTCCACAGGTCAGCGTTGAAGTTTTGGTAGAGTATCCTTTTTTTGTGTTTGGACAGGGCTGGTCATCCTGCTGTCCGGAGAGAACCAGCCAGCTCTTTGATTTGCCGTGTTCCAAACTCTCAGTTGGGGATGTCTGCATCTCGCTTACCCTCAAGAACCTGAAGAACGGCTCTGTTAAAAAGGGCCAGCCCGTGGATCCCGCCAGCGTCCTGCTGAAGCACTCAAAGGCCGACGGCCTGGCGGGCAGCAGACACAGGTATGCCGAGCAGGAAAACGGAATCAACCAGGGGAGTGCCCAGATGCTCTCTGAGAATGGCGAACTGAAGTTTCCAGAGAAAATGGGATTGCCTGCAGCGCCCTTCCTCACCAAAATAGAACCCAGCAAGCCCGCGGCAACGAGGAAGAGGAGGTGGTCGGCGCCAGAGAGCCGCAAACTGGAGAAGTCAGAAGACGAACCACCTTTGACTCTTCCTAAGCCTTCTCTAATTCCTCAGGAGGTTAAGATTTGCATTGAAGGCCGGTCTAATGTAGGCAAGTAGAGGCAGCGTGGGGGAAAGGAAACGTGGCTCTCCCTTATCATTTGTATCCAGATTACTGTACTGTAGGCTAAAATAACACAGTATTTACATGTTATCTTCTTAATTTTAGGTTTCTGTTCTAACCTTGTCATTAGAGTTACAGCAGGTGTGTCGCAGGAGACTGGTGCATATGCTTTTTCCACGAGTGTCTGTCAGTGAGCGGGCGGGAGGAAGGGCACAGCAGGAGCGGTCAGGGCTCCAGGCATCCCCGGGGAAGAAAGGAACGGGGCTTCACAGTGCCTGCCTTCTCTAGCGGCACAGAAGCAGCCGGGGGCGCTGACTCCCGCTAGTGTCAGGAGAAAAGTCCCGTGGGAAGGGTCCTGCAGGGGTGCAGGGTTGCACGCATGTGGGGGTGCACAGGCGCTGTGGCGGCGAGTGAGGGTCTCTTTTTCTCTGCCTCCCTCTGCCTCACTCTCTTGCTATCGGCATGGGCCGGGGGGGTTCAGAGCAGTGTCCTCCTGGGGTTCCCACGTGCAAAATCAACATCAGGAACCCAGCTTCAGGGCATCGCGGAGACGCGTCAGATGGCAGATTTGGAAAGTTAACCATTTAAAAGAACATTTTTCTCTCCAACATATTTTACAATAAAAGCAACTTTTAATTGTATAGATATATATTTCCCCCTATGGGGCCTGACTGCACTGATATATATTTTTTTTAAAGAGCAACTGCCACATGCGGGATTTCATTTCTGCTTTTTACTAGTGCAGCGATGTCACCAGGGTGTTGTGGTGGACAGGGAAGCCCCTGCTGTCATGGCCCCACATGGGGTAAGGGGGGTTGGGGGTGGGGGAGAGGGAGAGAGCGAACACCCACGCTGGTTTCTGTGCAGTGTTAGGAAAACCAATCAGGTTATTGCATTGACTTCACTCCCAAGAGGTAGATGCAAACTGCCCTTCAGTGAGAGCAACAGAAGCTCTTCACGTTGAGTTTGCGAAATCTTTTTGTCTTTGAACTCTAGTACTGTTTATAGTTCATGACTATGGACAACTCGGGTGCCACTTTTTTTTTTTTTCAGATTCCAGTGTGACATGAGGAATTAGATTTTGAAGATGAGCATATATTACTATCTTTAAGCATTTAAAAATACTGTTCACACTTTATTACCAAGCATCTTGGTCTCTCATTCAACAAGTACTGTATCTCACTTTAAACTCTTTGGGGAAAAAACAAAAACAAAAAAAACTAAGTTGCTTTCTTTTTTTCAACACTGTAACTACATTTCAGCTCTGCAGAATTGCTGAAGAGCAAGATATTGAAAGTTTCAATGTGGTTTAAAGGGATGAATGTGAATTATGAACTAGTATGTGACAATAAATGACCACCAAGTACTACCTGACGGGAGGCACTTTTCACTTTGATGTCTGAGAATCAGTTCAAGGCATATGCAGAGTTGGCAGAGAAACTGAGAGAAAAGGGATGGAGAAGAGAATACTCATTTTTGTCCAGTGTTTTTCTTTTTAAGATGAACTTTTAAAGAACCTTGCGATTTGCACATATTGAGTTTATAACTTGTGTGATATTCCTGCAGTTTTTATCCAATAACATTGTGGGAAAGGTTTGGGGGACTGAACGAGCATAAATAAATGTAGCAAAATTTCTTTCTAACCTGCCTAAACTCTAGGCCATTTTATAAGGTTATGTTCCTTTGAAAATTCATTTTGGTCTTTTTACCACATCTGTCACAAAAAGCCAGGTCTTAGCGGGCTCTTAGAAACTCTGAGAATTTTCTTCAGATTCATTGAGAGAGTTTTCCATAAAGACATTTATATATGTGAGCAAGATTTTTTTTAAACAATTACTTTATTATTGTTGTTATTAATGTTATTTTCAGAATGGCTTTTTTTTTTCTATTCAAAATCAAATCGAGATTTAATGTTTGGTACAAACCCAGAAAGGGTATTTCATAGTTTTTAAACCTTTCATTCCCAGAGATCCGAAATATCATTTGTGGGTTTTGAATGCATCTTTAAAGTGCTTTAAAAAAAAGTTTTATAAGTAGGGAGAAATTTTTAAATATTCTTACTTGGATGGCTGCAACTAAACTGAACAAATACCTGACTTTTCTTTTACCCCATTGAAAATAGTACTTTCTTCGTTTCACAAATTAAAAAAAAAATCTGGTATCAACCCACATTTTGGCTGTCTAGTATTCATTTACATTTAGGGTTCACCAGGACTAATGATTTTTATAAACCGTTTTCTGGGGTGTACCAAAAACATTTGAATAGGTTTAGAATAGCTAGAATAGTTCCTTGACTTTCCTCGAATTTCATTACCCTCTCAGCATGCTTGCAGAGAGCTGGGTGGGCTCATTCTTGCAGTCATACTGCTTATTTAGTGCTGTATTTTTTAAACGTTTCTGTTCAGAGAACTTGCTTAATCTTCCATATATTCTGCTCAGGGCACTTGCAATTATTAGGTTTTGTTTTTCTTTTTGTTTTTTAGCCTTTGATGGTAAGAGGAATACGGGCTGCCACATAGACTTTGTTCTCATTAATATCACTATTTACAACTCATGTGGACTCAGAAAAACACACACCACCTTTTGGCTTACTTCGAGTATTGAATTGACTGGATCCACTAAACCAACACTAAGATGGGAAAACACACATGGTTTGGAGCAATAGGAACATCATCATAATTTTTGTGGTTCTATTTCAGGTATAGGAATTATAAAATAATTGGTTCTTTCTAAACACTTGTCCCATTTCATTCTCTTGCTTTTTTAGCATGTGCAATACTTTCTGTGCCAATAGAGTCTGACCAGTGTGCTATATAGTTAAAGCTCATTCCCTTTTGGCTTTTTCCTTGTTTGGTTGATCTTCCCCATTCTGGCCAGAGCAGGGCTGGAGGGAAGGAGCCAGGAGGGAGAGAGCCTCCCACCTTTCCCCTGCTGCGGATGCTGAGTGCTGGGGCGGGGAGCCTTCAGGAGCCCCGTGCGTCTGCCGCCACGTTGCAGAAAGAGCCAGCCAAGGAGACCCGGGGGAGGAACCGCAGTGTCCCCTGTCACCACACGGAATAGTGAATGTGGAGTGTGGAGAGGAAGGAGGCAGATTCATTTCTAAGACGCACTCTGGAGCCATGTAGCCTGGAGTCAACCCATTTTCCACGGTCTTTTCTGCAAGTGGGCAGGCCCCTCCTCGGGGTCTGTGTCCTTGAGACTTGGAGCCCTGCCTCTGAGCCTGGACGGGAAGTGTGGCCTGTTGTGTGTGTGCGTTCTGAGCGTGTTGGCCAGTGGCTGTGGAGGGGACCACCTGCCACCCACGGTCACCACTCCCTTGTGGCAGCTTTCTCTTCAAATAGGAAGAACGCACAGAGGGCAGGAGCCTCCTGTTTGCAGACGTTGGCGGGCCCCGAGGCTCCCAGAGCAGCCTCTGTCACCGCTTCTGTGTAGCAAACATTAACGATGACAGGGGTAGAAATTCTTCGGTGCCGTTCAGCTTACAAGGATCAGCCATGTGCCTCTGTACTATGTCCACTTTGCAATATTTACCGACAGCCGTCTTTTGTTCTTTCTTTCCTGTTTTCCATTTTTAAACTAGTAACAGCAGGCCTTTTGCGTTTACAATGGAACACAATCACCAAGAAATTAGTCAGGGCGAAAAGAAAAAAATAATACTATTAATAAGAAACCAACAAACAAGAACCTCTCTTTCTAGGGATTTCTAAATATATAAAATGACTGTTCCTTAGAATGTTTAACTTAAGAATTATTTCAGTTTGTCTGGGCCACACTGGGGCAGAGGGGGGAGGGAGGGATACAGAGATGGATGCCACTTACCTCAGATCTTTTAAAGTGGAAATCCAAATTGAATTTTCATTTGGACTTTCAGGATAATTTTCTATGTTGGTCAACTTTTCGTTTTCCCTAACTCACCCAGTTTAGTTTGGGATGATTTGATTTCTGTTGTTGTTGATCCCATTTCTAACTTGGAATTGTGAGCCTCTATGTTTTCTGTTAGGTGAGTGTGTTGGGTTTTTTCCCCCCACCAGGAAGTGGCAGCATCCCTCCTTCTCCCCTAAAGGGACTCTGCGGAACCTTTCACACCTCTTTCTCAGGGACGGGGCAGGTGTGTGTGTGGTACACTGACGTGTCCAGAAGCAGCACTTTGACTGCTCTGGAGTAGGGTTGTACAATTTCAAGGAATGTTTGGATTTCCTGCATCTTGTGGATTACTCCTTAGATACCGCATAGATTGCAATATAATGCTGCATGTTCAAGATGAACAGTAGCTCCTAGTAATCATAAAATCCACTCTTTGCACAGTTTGATCTTTACTGAAATATGTTGCCAAAATTTATTTTTGTTGTTGTAGCTCTGGATTTTGTTTTGTTTTGTTTTTTAAGGAAACGATTGACAATACCCTTTAACATCTGTGACTACTAAGGAAACCTATTTCTTTCATAGAGAGAAAAATCTCCAATGCTTTTGAAGACACTAATACCGTGCTATTTCAGATATGGGTGAGGAAGCAGAGCTCTCGGTACCGAAGGCCGGGCTTCTTGAGCTGTGTTGGTTGTCATGGCTACTGTTTCATGAACCACAAGCAGCTCAACAGACTGGTCTGTTGCCTTCTGAAACCCTTTGCACTTCAATTTGCACCAGGTGAAAACAGGGCCAGCAGACTCCATGGCCCAATTCGGTTTCTTCGGTGGTGATGTGAAAGGAGAGAATTACACTTTTTTTTTTTTTAAGTGGCGTGGAGGCCTTTGCTTCCACATTTGTTTTTAACCCAGAATTTCTGAAATAGAGAATTTAAGAACACATCAAGTAATAAATATACAGAGAATATACTTTTTTATAAAGCACATGCATCTGCTATTGTGTTGGGTTGGTTTCCTCTCTTTTCCACGGACAGTGTTGTGTTTCTGGCATAGGGAAACTCCAAACAACTTGCACACCTCTACTCCGGAGCTGAGATTTCTTTTACATAGATGACCTCGCTTCAAATACGTTACCTTACTGATGATAGGATCTTTTCTTGTAGCACTATACCTTGTGGGAATTTTTTTTTAAATGTACACCTGATTTGAGAAGCTGAAGAAAACAAAATTTTGAAGCACTCACTTTGAGGAGTACAGGTAATGTTTTAAAAAATTGCACAAAAGAAAAATGAATGTCGAAATGATTCATTCAGTGTTTGAAAGATATGGCTCTGTTGAAACAATGAGTTTCATACTTTGTTTGTAAAAAAAAAAAAGCAGAGAAGGGTTGAAAGTTACATGTTTTTTTGTATATAGAAATTTGTCATGTCTAAATGATCAGATTTGTATGGTTATGGCCTGGAAGAATTACTACGTAAAAGGCTCTTAAACTATACCTATGCTTATTGTTATTTTTGTTACATATAGCCCTCGTCTGAGGGAGGGGAACTCGGTATTCTGCGATTTGAGAATACTGTTCATTCCTATGCTGAAAGTACTTCTCTGAGCTCCCTTCTTAGTCTAAACTCTTAAGCCATTGCAACTTCTTTTTCTTCAGAGATGATGTTTGACATTTTCAGCACTTCCTGTTCCTATAAACCCAAAGAATATAATCTTGAACACGAAGTGTTTGTAACAAGGGATCCAGGCTACCAATCAAACAGGACTCATTATGGGGACAAAAAAAAAAATTATTTCACCTTCTTTCCCCCCACACCTCATTTAAATGGGGGGAGTAAAAACATGATTTCAATGTAAATGCCTCATTTTATTTTAGTTTTATTTTGATTTTTATTTAATATAAAGAGGCCAGAATAAATACGGAGCATCTTCTCAGAATAGTATTCCTGTCCAAAAATCAAGCCGGACAGTGGAAACTGGACAGCTGTGGGGATATTAAGCACCCCCACTTACAATTCTTAAATTCAGAATCTCGTCCCCTCCCTTCTCGTTGAAGGCAACTGTTCTGGTAGCTAACTTTCTCCTGTGTAATGGCGGGAGGGAACACCGGCTTCAGTTTTTCATGTCCCCATGACTTGCATACAAATGGTTCAACTGTATTAAAATTAAGTGCATTTGGCCAATAGGTAGTATCTATACAATAACAACAATCTCTAAGAATTTCCATAACTTTTCTTATCTGAAAGGACTCAAGTCTTCCACTGCAGATACATTGGAGGCTTCACCCACGTTTTCTTTCCCTTTAGTTTGTTTGCTGTCTGGATGGCCAATGAGCCTGTCTCCTTTTCTGTGGCCAATCTGAAGGCCTTCGTTGGAAGTGTTGTTTACAGTAATCCTTACCAAGATAACATACTGTCCTCCAGAATACCAAGTATTAGGTGACACTAGCTCAAGCTGTTGTCTTCAGAGCAGTTACCAAGAAGCTCGGTGCACAGGTTTTCTCTGGTTCTTACAGGAACCACCTACTCTTTCAGTTTTCTGGCCCAGGAGTGGGGTAAATCCTTTAGTTAGTGCATTTGAACTTGATACCTGTGCATTCAGTTCTGTGAATACTGCCCTTTTTGGCGGGGTTTCCTCATCTCCCCAGCCTGAACTGCTCAACTCTAAACCCAAATTAGTGTCAGCCGAAAGGAGGTTTCAAGATAGTCCTGTCAGTATTTGTGGTGACCTTCAGATTAGACAGTCTTCATTTCCAGCCAGTGGAGTCCTGGCTCCAGAGCCATCTCTGAGACTCGTACTACTGGATGTTTTAATATCAGATCATTACCCACCATATGCCTCCCACAGGCCAAGGGAAAACAGACACCAGAACTTGGGTTGAGGGCACTACCAGACTGACATGGCCAGTACAGAGGAGAACTAGGGAAGGAATGATGTTTTGCACCTTATTGAAAAGAAAATTTTAAGTGCATACATAATAGTTAAGAGCTTTTATTGTGACAGGAGAACTTTTTTCCATATGCGTGCATACTCTCTGTAATTCCAGTGTAAAATATTGTACTTGCACTAGCTTTTTTAAACAAATATTAAAAAATGGAAGAATTCATATTCTATTTTCTAATCGTGGTGTGTCTATTTGTAGGATACACTCGAGTCTGTTTATTGAATTTTATGGTCCCTTTCTTTGATGGTGCTTGCAGGTTTTCTAGGTAGAAATTATTTCATTATTATAATAAAACAATGTTTGATTCAAAATTTGAACAAAATTGTTTTAAATAAATTGTCTGTATACCAGTACAAGTTTATTGTTTCAGTATACTCGTACTAATAAAATAACAGTGCCAATTGCAGATGTGTGTCTTTGCCTTCTGTTGGGTCCTCAAGGAAGAGGCCAGGAAAAGAGTGCTAATTCCTCCTCCTTATTGACCCCCGCTCACGAGTTCTCCCTGGGTAGGTCGGAGGTAGGGAGGTGTGACATGAGGCATTGCCTTCGCTGCTAATGTTTTGGGGGGAAGAGTACGTGTGAGATGAGGTTCTAAGATAAAAGGCACACAGCCACACCTGATGTCTTGGTTTCTTCAGTTCATGTTTATGCCTCCTAGCTGAACACTGCTGTTCACAAGAGGTATACTTGTCTTTAAACATGTGGTAGCTTCATGCGCTCGTGTGGCATAATCTATACACTCCTTACAGATTTGCTCTAAACTGGTTAGTGGTCTGTAAGTGGAAAATTTATTTTTACTTCCTGTAATTCAAGCTCATTAGAAATTCAGCGAGCAGACCGGGCACAGTGGCTCACGCCCATAATCCCAACAGTTGGGGAGGCCGAGGCACAAGGCCTGCTTGAGCCCAGGAGTTCGAGACCAGCCTAGTCAACATAGTAAGACCTCATCTCTACAAAAAATGAAATTAGCCGGGTGTGGTGGCACATACCTATGGTCCCAGCTACTTAGGGGACTGAGGTGGGAGGATCGCCTGGGGCCAGGAGGTCGAGGCTGCAGTGAGCCATAATCATACCGCTGCACTCCAGCCTGGGCGACAGAGCAAAACTCTGCCTCAAAAACAAAAAAAAAACCCAACTCCTCGAGCAGGTCTCTCAGCATGTGGAGGAACTCCCCGTTTACCTCAAGAGTACCACATTACAGCTTTGCACTGGGCCCAGTCTTGGAAAGATATGGCTTAGCAGTTGTGCCAGAAAAAGTAATTCCTCAAGAACCCATAGCTTCCAGGTGGAATCCCCTGCACCCACCTCAACCCACCTCAACCCACCTCAAGACCTTCCAGCCTCAAGGTTACACAGAGGTGGGAGAACGCTTGGGGTTAAATTCATTTTCACTTAGCCAAGGAGGAACTATCTTCTTGGGAAGGTGTTTTGGACTCTCCTCTGATTATTTAGTTGAGGTCCTGACACATTATATAATAAATATGTGAAAGGACACACAGCAAACCAGAGCTGTGTAGGTGCAACTCAGGCTACAAGGGCTGCCCCAGGTCCTGTGGAGTAGCCCGGGCAAATGTGCCTGTGTGCTGTGGGCAAACTCGGCAAAGCAGTCTGCATCTCTGCCTTCCCTTTTTGTTTGTGTGAGATACTGATTGTTCTGACAAGTTTGGGGTCCAGTGGCTGTGTTACTTACCTCAGCTGGTGAAATCAATTAGGGGGAACCATACCTTCAGGTGCTGCAGCGGGGCAGGACTTGAAACCATCAAAAGCACTGCCAGAGCCCTCAGATGGAACGGCCAGAGTGGCCCAAGGCAAATGGCGTCGAGTTCACTGGCTGTCCTCCTCCTCCCCCAGCTCTGGCACAGGAAGCCCAGTGGGTCAGCAGCAAAGCTGCATGCTTCATCTCCAGGTCCTGTGGGACACCCGGTCCAAGGGACACTCTGGTGTGGGCTCCCCCAGCCCCACTCCTATCAGAGGCAGAGATGAACCTGCTAAGGCAAACGGTGACGGAGCCTTACAAGTTCTCTTTATGGGCCAGGCGCGGTGGCTCACACCTGTAATCCCAGCACTTTGGGAGGCTGAGGTGGGTGGATCACCCGAGCCCAGGAGTTTGAGACCAGCCTGGGTAACATGGCAAAAACCCATCTCTACTAAAAACATAAACATTAGCCAGACGTGGCGGGCACCTGTAATCCCGGCTACTCTGAAGGCTGAGGCACGAGAATCACTTGAACCTGGGAGGCGGAGGTTGCAGTGAGCCGAGATTGTGCCACTGCACTCTGCCTGGGTGACAGAGCAAGACTTGGTCTCAGGAAAAAAAAAAAAAAAAAAGACATTCTCTTTCTGAAGGCTCTGCTTCAAAATGGTCCTAACGAGTTTTTGATTTTGTAACTACTCAGTTACAAGCAGCTGGAAGACCACAGAGAGCAAGGCGGGGAGCCTGCAGCCAAGCCCCATGTCTTGCTCCACGTTAAATCGCCTCTTGGCCCTCCCGTCTCCAAAGTGCAGCCCTTGTGTTTCTACAGGTGCAAGAGTTATTCTTAATGGGCCGGGCACAGTGGCTCACACCTGTAATCCTAGCACTTTGGGGAGGTTGACGCAGGTGGATGGCTTGAGCCCTGGAGTTTGAGACCAGTCTGGGCAACATGGTGAGACCCTGTCTCTATAAAAAATACAAAAATTAGCTGGGCGTGGTAGCAGGTGTCTGTAGTCCCAGCTACTTGGGAGACTGAGGTCAGAGGATCACCTGAGCCCGGGAGGTCAAGGCTGTGGTGAGCTGTGATCCTGCCACTGCACTCCAGCCTGGGCAACAGAGACCCTGTCTCAAATTAAAAAAAAAAAAAAAAAAAAAAAAAAAAAACTCTTAATGGATTTAGTAGGGGAAAGTATTACAATGGAGACAATGCTGCTGGCTGGATCTCTAAACATAATCTTAAAGGACCAACAGTGGGCCTGTATTATCCCAGAGTGTGACAGCTCTGGTTGGACCCTTCTCATGCCATCGGTCACTGTGGACAATCAGGCCATTCATTCACCCTGGCACAGCAGCACCCTGTGGATCTTCTCTACTCCAGGGTCATTGCTTGCCTTTCCAAAGAAAACTGACTTGTGTATCTGCTCTTCAGCCTTATTAAAAAGCAAAGTAAAACAACCTGATCTGCATACGCTTTCCAGGCCTGGAACTCAATACTTCAAAGTTTAGCGGCCGGTCATCACTTCTTCTGCGTTCACTGTTTAAACAAGCATCCTGGTGGACTGCTGCAGGTCAGCTGCAGAGGCCAATTCTCCAAGACAATGTCATTGTTCCCAACCCGTTAACTGACCCTTATACAGTAGTGCCATGTGGTCCTTCCGAGAAAGGATTCACTGGCACACTGAGGGAATGGCTCTAACTCATGTCTCAAACCAATGCCTTTTAGGATGCCACTGATCAAAGCTTTGGCTCTTTTTCAGTGTGACTCCACCTGCTAATTTCTTGGGAGACAACCTTCCCATAAAACATCCTGTGGAATTTCAAATTAAGACAAGTTGGGACTGAGAAGGGGGAAAAAAAAGATGGAGGAAAACAAAACGAAATGAGAAGCCAGGACAGGGACAGCTTCCTAGAGGCAACAGCAAACTGGTAGCGACAGATGACTTGTCCCTGAAAAGCACATGTAATGAAACTCGGGGAAAACACATTGGCTCAACTTTGTGAGTATCAGCTGGGAAAACAATTCATGTTCATCTGTCCAGTTAATTGCTTTTGTTCTTTTGCAGCAACCAAAAGCTAGAGGTGAGGGATGCCAGTTACTTTGACTCCGGCCTGTCCACCCTTGGCCCCCGCACTGTCCTCCTCTCCTTGCCCCTCCTAAGGTGACTTGTCTGCTAATCGCCGGGAGAGGCTTGCCATCAGCCTGTCTAGGAAGGTAGCAAAACAAATCCCAAACCATTCAACTTGACTCCTGGAAATACAAACTCCAGCAACTCCATTAAGTCTTAAGATAATAGCATTATATTAAAGTGAAACCATCTTCTTTTAAAAAAGAAAGAAAAACAAAGAAAGGGAGAGAGAAAGAGAAAAAGAGAAAGGTGCAAGTGTTGGTTTGAACAATGAGGTTATGAGTTCTGGGCAGCAGGGCTCTGATGTTGGCCCAATCGGTGCCTTGCGTCTGGGCCCCGAGAAGGCAGGCGGGAGAGCCCCGAAGCCTCCAGGCAGCAGGAGACAGAAGAGAGGACACAGCATTCCACCATTCAGGAGCAGCCAGAAGCTCTGACGGAACAGACTTGGGGGGAGATGGGAAAAGCAGGTTTGGACGCTTCCACTCGAGCCAGACGCTGCTTTGTCCCCAGGGTTAGCTGAACACGGTGTTGTGCTGCTGGGTCACCCGGATGAATGTTGCCCTCCTGCTGAGCTCCTTGAGTTTGGCGGCCCCCACGTAGGTGCACGTGGACCTCAGTCCCCCGAGAATATCCAGGATAGTGTTTTCCACATCTCCTTTGTAAGGAACTTCCACAGTCTTACCCTCAGAGGCTCTGGAAGACGATAGAAGTTTTCTTTTTATCTAGTTTCCCGCCCCACCTTAAGAGCCCAATTAGAATTACTCCCAGCTCCAGCACTTTCTGTAGCCCCCAAGGCACTCAGAAAACCAGACCCCACCCTCTGACCCCATCCCCACATTTCTACCAAGTGCCAAGATGATCACCAGCATCTCAGATGAACACATTCCTCCCGCCCAAAGGGCACGGGCTCATTGCTGGCTGCCCTGCATGTTGCGGAGAGGAAAGTCCTGGTGAGCAGCGCTTGAAGGAGTCAGGGACCCATAACACCCTGCTTGGTGCCATTCTCTCCAGCAACGTGCTCCCCTCTGCTGCTAACAGAAACCACCTTTACCTTTCTATTCTACCTCAACATGCACACCAACTTCCCAACAACCAGGAGCCCAAAATGCCCCCAGAATGGCCCTGGCCGATTCCCCCCTGGAAACAGCCTCCTGTCCTCCTACGTCAACAACAGGAAAAGTCCAGAGCTTCACCTCCCGCCTGTCTGGTCTAAGATCAGAAATCAAGTGTCTTCAAGGGGGACGACCAGGACGAGGAGGACATAAAATGGATAGCGCAGGTCCTACCAGCTTACGTGGAAATCACCAGCAAGGTGATTTCATTGAAGTGGCTCTGTTTTGATAGCCTGCCTGTCTTTCTGCTTTGCTGGGTACACTGGCCACCCCCAGTTCGACTCCCTGTTCTCTTACAGGTCACTACACCTATCACCCTGCACATGTGTGGGTCCAAGCAAGGTGGAATCAGAGGAGAACCAAGACCTGTCTTAGCACCAGAGGCTTCCAGGCTTTGGATAGCAACGTTCACATTTTCAGAGGAGTATTTAGAAACTCAAGTCTGGCCTATGGCATGAACACTAAGCAACATTTCACTGTCCCCACTGAGCCCATGTCCCTCTCTTCACAAAGCCACCAGGTAACACTGCTTGATTGTTACTTGGGTAACACAGGTCATGTCCCCTCACTGCAAAATGGGGATGTGGTCCAGACACATGTATATATTACCAGAATATGTGTATATTACACATGTGTATATTACCAGATGTGTGTATTACCAGAAGGAAATCTGAAATCTAGGCAAAACTCTAGCTCTCATCTAAGGGCCATGCAAGTTCTAACAAGTACCCAAATTCTGGAACTTTCTGTAGCTGTTCTTTTCAGCTGGAAAAAGAGCATCTTTTTTTGAGATGGAGTTTTGCCTTTGTCACCCAGACTGGAGTGCAATGGTGCAATCTCAGCTCACTGCAACCTCTGCCTCCTGGGTTCAAGCAATTCTCCTGCCTCAGCCTCCTGAGTAGCTGGGATTACAGGTGCCTGCCACCACTCCCAGCTAATTTTAGTATTTTTAGTAGAGATGGGGTTTCACCATGTTGGCCAGGCTGGTCTCGAACTCCTGGCCTTAGGTGATCCACCTGCCTTGAAGAGCATCTCTTGACCAGACATTCATTATCTAGAATTTCAAAAGGGGCTTAACTCTTGGTTGCTGAACAGGCAGGACTACCCTTGGGTAAAATCCAGCTACTTAAACCATCAGCCGGTTTAGAGCCCCAAGCTCAGGAAGCCAGTCATTGGCCATACCCAGGATGGTTCAGGGCTCAGCACTCCGTGACCCCAGACAGGCGTCTGTACACTTGTGCCTGCAATTACTGACATTTCATTTTCGTAAGATATTTCCATGGCCTTCCTGGGGCTTCTTGGAAATTTCTAGATTCTCACTGTTGCTTCTCTGCTAAGTGGTGGTGTCGCCTTTTACAAATTCCTTTTTTGCTGATGCTTAAGTCTGCTCATCCGTAAAATGAAGGTACTTTGCCTCCCGGGCACAGCGTGAGAATGAAATAATGATTGGGAAAGAACCAGCAATGTGTACATAACTGTGCCATAAGTAATTTGTCAAAGTCGGGAAGCATTCTCATGACAAGATCATGGTCACGGGCTGAAAACTAAGAGAGAGAGAGAGAGAGAGAGACTCAGACAGAGGTAAGACAGGTGCAGCCGCAAGGCTCAGGCTGAAGCCTTTGGATTAAGGTTCTAATTTCCTCAGCAATTTCCTTCCCTGTTAAAGATTTGAATCCACTTTCAGAACTGAGTCTTGCTACTGCTGAATCTTTTTTTTTCTATTATACCTAAACCCTGCTGAAATTACAGAAGACGTTTTTTCTTTCAGCTCTTTGGTTTCTGTTTGTGCCATAGCCTGCTCTGGTCTTCTTGATTCTATAATTTTTTAAAGAACCCAAAACAGATGCAGCCACGAGGGTGAAAAAGGTACTCCAGGCAAAGCACCTAGCTGCTGCTCACCCATGAAAGCTCCACTTACATTCTGGCACAGAGGACACATGTGCAGGCCCTTGGATGATGACAACAGTTGCTGGTAAAGCACGAAGCTTCTTGAACATAGGTCCAGCTTAGTGCCTCCTCCTTACCCAACCATGCAACCTCCTCCTCTATCAGGGACCGCTTGGGGGAAAGAGGGCCTCGGGGGCTACCTGGAAGGAGTGAATCCCTCATTTCTGATTGGTGCAGTCCCCATCGATCTTTCCCATCCTGCTTTTCCCATACTATAATATCTTTATTGGGGTTCACCACCAAGAGAAAGAGACTTGAGGAGAATGAGAACTGAAGTAAGTCCGCTAGAACCCCACGGATGAATAGAACTCTGGTAGAATACACCCCACTCCCCCCAATCCCCCCACCTACAAATCTCAGTGGAGTTCTGAGATTTTGCTGCTAGCTTGGTATGAACCTTATATAATACATCTGAATCCCAGGTCCTCAAAATGACCCTCTGGGTGTGGAATGAGTGGTAGGAAATAAAGGGTGTCAGTCAGGGAGGGCTTAGGTTTCCACTCCAGCACCGGATAGAGTCTGAAAATTGGAGGGAGAAGCCTGAACTTTCCTGGAAAAAGGCAACCAGCCGATTCACAGGCAACTTCCCTCTGCAGATGGAGAACCTTTGCTCCTGTACCCATTTTGTATAGCTTGTCATCGGCGCTAACCCTGATGAGAGTAACAGTAGGCTCTATGGAGCAGGGTGAGGCAGCGAGTATACTGTCATCAGGTTCTTTTTTTTTTTTTTTGGCAGGGTATCACTCTGTTGCCCAGGCTGGAGCACAGTGGCACGATCATAGCTCACTGCAGCCTCCAACTCCTGGGCTTAAGCCATCTTCCTGCCTCAGCCTCCTGAGCTGCTGGGAGTACAGTCATGTGACACCACACCCAGCTAATTTTTAATTTTTTTGTAGAGACAGGGTCTTGCTATGTTGCCTAGGCTCATCTGGAACTCCCGGTCTCAAGCAGTCCTCCAACCTTGGCTGCTGGAAGCACTGGGATTACAAGCATGAGCCACTGTGCCTGGCCCCATCATCAGGTTCTTAAAACACACATGCAGACAGTTAAAATGGAAGGGAATCAGGAAAAGACCCAGGTGTCTTTGGAGACCATGGATTAAAAACATGCATCAGGAGCCAGGTGCGGTGGCTCATGCCTATAATCCCAGCACTTTGGGAGGTCGAGGTGGGTGGATCACTGGAAGTCAGGAGTTCGAGACCAGCCTGGCCAACATGACGAAACCCCATCTTTACTAAAAATACAAAAAATAGCTGGACATGATGGGGGGTACCTGTAATCCCAGTTATTCGGGAGGCTGAGGCAGGATAATCACTTGAACCCGGGAGGCAGAGGTTACAGTGAGCTGACATCACACCACTGCACTCCAGCCTGGGCGACAGAGCACGACTCCACCACAAAAAAATAAAAATAAAAAATAAAAAATAAACACACATCAGCAGAAGTAAGCCCCACTTCTACAGTGGATGACACAACTGAATGGCTGAAAATGCTGCTGTGTCGGCTCTCGGAGCCTGGAGGAAGGTGAGAAGCGGTATGAGCTGTATGCAGCATTCTTCAGGAAAGGCCTGGCCACCGTGCAGTGGTCTAGACCACACCTATGGCTTTCTGTGCAAGAGGAGAGCCATTCTTCAACTCAATCCTTTCAGCCTGAACTCTTCTCAAGCCAGAGATCTAAGCTTACAGGGATAGCTCAGCACAGGCTCTACTGGAAGGACAAGACAATAATTCCACCTACCCCCAGAGGTCTGAAGTATTCCCTTCAGGACTGGCACCCACTCACATATAACCCTGGTCACACTTCCAACCCATCACCAAACACTGCTGCTCTGTACTTGCTTTTGGGAACCCCAAACACTGCAAATGCTAACTGGATACAAATTAGGGGTCTTTAAAAAGAACCCCTTCCCACGGTACTTTAATATACACAGAGCTGCTATTCAGACCTGCTTCCATCCCATCTCCGTAAGAAAAGCAAGGCCAGGCCTCGAGGGTGCGCCCCGGGGTCACCTCCTCACCTGTACTCAGCAACTCCTCCTGCGTGCTTGTTCATGGCGGTGTCAGAGCTCATCCCGTAGAAGAGCTTGAGCTTCCGTCCGTTCCTCTCAAACACTTCTCCAGCACACTCCGTATGACCCGAAAACATTCCTCCCAGCATGACAAAATCTGCTCCAGCTCCTAAATGCCAACGGTGGGGATGAAAGCGAGTAGCAGAGAAAACAGCTCAGGGGAAAAGGCTCTCAAAAAATCCCAGTGCTTGCCCAGTTCACCTCCCTCCCCGCCCAGCTATAGTCAAGAGAAAGGCTGGACCTCTCTCGCCTGTCTCCTCCTGGAAAAAGGGAGAAGGCTTCCATGCAGGGAGAAAGGGCCATGGGACACTGCGAGAAACAAATGCAGCCTACTGAAGGCTAGTGTCCCATATACTGGACCATGCTGAATGGCTTTTAATGGCTAACTACGACCACCTTCCTCAGATCTAACTCTCTTAGAATCACAGAAACATTAAGATTGGGGAGTATTCTGCCAGGCACAGTGGCTCAGCCCTGTAATCCTAGCACTTTGGGAGGCTGAGGCAGGTGAATCACTTGAGATCAGGAGTTCAAGACCAGCCTGGCCAACATGATAAAACCCCATTTCTACTAAAAATACAAAAATTAGCCGGAAATCGCTTGAACCCCGGAGGTGGAGGTTGCAGTGAGCCGAGATCATGCCACTGCACTCCAACCTGGGCAACAGAGGGAGACTCCGTCTCACAAAAAAAAAAAAAAAAAAAAAAAAAAAAAAAAAAAAATTGGGCAGTATCTTAGAAAGCAAGTTACCTAATCTTGTACTTAATGCTATGACTCCTCTATGATACCCCCTCAGGTGTCTGGTCTGTACTTGAAGCTCTCCACACTCTGACACTCCCTGTGCTTATACATCAGGAAAAAGCCTCAGAACAGACTGAAGCTCCTACACTAGACAGCTTCAAGGAAAGAAGTCCCCGTGTTATGGAAGTCGTCTAAAACTCCACCCGCACCATGCTGCTGCACATTAGATTTCCAGAGTACATATTCTGCCAGACTAATCACCGAATGACAGCACATTTCCAGGACAGGCACAGGAGACAGAGGTACTGAAGCTGCCTGTCTTTGTGGGCTATGCTGGAACAGGCCCAGGGCTGGTTCTATGTTGATCCAAAGTGCACAGCACATGATAGACGCTGAATGATTAGCTGTCAAAAAAGTAAAAACGTGGGAAAAAAAGTTATCATTCCCCATTTTGTTCATGGATCACTGTGCAGTGGGATTCTTCATTGCCTATTAACTAAGGAACTGCTACTGTGTTCGGAACTGGTGGGTTCTTGGTCTCACTGACTTCAAGAATGAAGCCATAGACTCTCACTGTGAGTGTAACAGCTCTATAAGGTGGCGCGGCTGAGGCTTTTTCCTTCTGGTGGGGTTGGGGTCTGCGCTAGCTCAAAAATGAAGCTATAGACCTTCCCGGCAAATAGCACAGCTCATAAAAGCAGTGTGGGCCTAAAGACCGAGCAGCAACAGAATCTATTGCAAAGAGCGAAACAACAAATCACCCTCCCAAAGAAAAGGAGCCAGAAGGGTTTGCCACTGCTGGCTCCGGCAGCCTGCTTTTATTCTCTTATCTGGCCCCACCCATATCCTGCTGATTGGTAGAGTGAGTGGTCTGTTTTGTCAGGGCGCTGATTGGTGTGTTTACAATCCCTGAGCTAGACACAAAGGTTCTCCACGTCCCCACCAGATTAGCTAGATACAGAGTGTGGATTGGTGCATTCACAAAACCTGAGCTAGACACAGGATGCTGGTTGGTGTGTTTACAAACCTTGAGCTAGATACAGAGTGCCCATTGGTGTATTTACAATCCCTGAGTTAGACATAAAGGTTCTCCACGTCCCCACCAGACTGAGGAGCCCAGCTGGCTTCATCCAGTGGATCCGCACTGGGGCTGCAGATGGAGCTGCCCACCAGTCCCACGCCCTGCGCCTGCACTCCTCAGCCCTTGCATGGTTGACGGGACTGGGGGCCTTGGAGCAGGGGGCGGCGCTCATTAGGGAGGCTCCCGCCGCACAGGAGCCCGTGGAGGGGGCGGGGAAGCTCAGCCATGGCGGGCGGCAGGTCCCGAGCCCTGCCCCGCAGGGAGGCAGCTAAGGCCCAGCCAGAAATCCAGCGCAGCGCCAGTGGGCTGGCACTGCTGGAGGACCCAGCACACCCTCCGCAGCTGCTGGCCCGGGTGCTAAGCCTCTCATTGCCTGAGGCCGGCAGGGCCAGCCGGCCGCTCCGAGTGCAGGGCCTGCCAAGCCCACACCCACCCGGAACTCCAGCTGGCCCGCAAGCGCCTCGCGCATCCTCGGTTGCCACTCGCGCCTCTCCCTCCACACCTCCCTTCAAGCTGAGGGAGCCGGCTCCGGCCTTGGCCAGCTCAGAAAGGGGCTCCCAGAGTGCAGAGACGGGCTGAAGGGCTCCTCAAGTGCTGCCAAAGTGGGAGCCCAGGCAGAGGAGGCGTGGACAGCAAGCGAGGGCTGTGAGGGCTGTCACCTCTCACTACAGCCTCCCCTGAGTAAGCCCTACTGAGGGTTTACCTTTAGAACAGAACAAGACAGTAGCAGGGCGCAGATGTATTAAGTAATAGGATGAAGGAGGAGGGGAGCCTGGCAAATCCTAATCAGGAGGAGGAAACATAGGAACCCCTGAAAGTGGCCCTGATGCCTTCAATTTGGTCATTTAAACATTGGCAGAGCACTCTGAGGTTTTCATTGGCGTTACAGTTCAGCATGACAGAAAGGCGAGCTTTTCTAGCACTCAGGGAAGCAAAGCACAACGCAACCTTCCTAAGTGGCAGCAACCTCTTAAGACCCTCCCCTTTCAGGGTTCCTAACACGAATGCTGACTCCCTGGTCCTCCTGCCATGATTTTAAGGAGGCAGAGGATAACTGGTGTCCAGCCAGGATTCTTGACAATTCAGGAGCACAGCACCTCTGCGGCAGCTGCAAAGGAGCAGATGTCAACAGCAGGAACGCAGAGCACAGACCCACTAAAGAATGCTTTGAGGGGGTTCCCAACCATTTTCATTTCGGGACACCCTTGCATCCTTCCCTGACAAGGTCCCTCTCGCTCCACTGAGTCTCGGCACAGGTACGGCCGCACTGACTGAGAGACAGTGGAGGAGGGAATGGCACCCAAAGGAGACTGAGCTGAGTGTGGTCCAAAGGCCAGGAACTGTGATCTACAAGGCACTTCTCAACGACCAGTCACTTTAAAGTGTGTTTGGCTCTCCCTCTGTACAGAGAGCATGTGTGAGGCAACACAAAAGAGTCCAAGATGGACCACCACCTGTATTAAGTAGATTCAGCTCAAAAACCAATCATAAAAATGCCCTTGGCCAATGATCCTTACAATAAAGGGTAAGTGACAGCACTAGTTAGCAGAGGCTCTGTATTCTCCCTGTTCTGCCCCTGATTGTAGGGCTGTGACCTTGTCATTCCCTCCTACAGCCTCAGTCCCCTCAACTATAAAATAGGAAGCTGGAATCAGTGGAGGGTCTGTAGATTCCTCTCCACAGATAGGATCTATGATTAGGAGGAGGTTAAATACCATTTTTCATGACATCTTTGGGTTGCTATGAAACCTTGTTGCTAAGAACACTGCCCTGTGTTTTCCTTTGTCACTATCAGGGTTGTTGTCTGACCATTTATTTTTTAATTTTTATTTTTTATATTTTTTTGAGACAGGGTCACTCTGTCACCCAGGCTGGAGTGCAGTGGCGTGATCTTGGCTCACTGCAACTTCTGGCTCCCGGGTTCAAGCGATTCTCCCACCTTGGCCTCCTGAGTAGCTGGGATTACAGGCGTGCACCACCACACCCCGGTATTTTTTTTTGTATTTTTAGTAGAGATGGGGTATTGTCCAGGCTGGTCTCAAACTGCTGGTTTCAAGTGATCTGCCCACCTCGGCCTCCCAAAGTGCTGGGATTACAGGTGTGAGCCACCGCACCCAGCCTGAAAATTAAAAACAAAAACCAAAAAACAAAAAAACAGAATTCCTATGACATAAAGTTTCCTGCCACCATTTTTTTTTTTTCTGGCATCAGCAAAGGGCGGAGGCATGGGAGCTTCGTTTCTGCCTCCCGCCGGCACCCACAACGCCCATTTCACATTCTGGAGCCCACAGCCACGCGGCCAGCTCTGACTTCCAAATGCCATTTGCAGTTCTATGGCCAACACATGGCTCGGCAGCCGTACTTTACTGCTTGTGGTGTTGAGAGGCTGGAGCGTCTAGTGCTTTCCAGAGAAAAGCTCAGGACCTGCTGCCCTCCCACCACCGCTCCCCATCCCCAATCCCACGGGCTCACAGCAGGCACTGCTGCCCCCTAGCGGGAGGCAGGCTCCAGCCTCCAGGGAGAAACCGCTGCGGGATTCCTCCTGTCCCTTCCACGGGACTTCTCCAAGCTGGGTCCAAAAAACCCCCTCTGTAGTTGTTACACATCACACCTGGCACCATCCCCTTGGACAGGTCCCTTGAGCTTTCTCTTCCCTGGGATGAAAAGGCCGTGACTTCACCCACTCCTGGCTTGCAGGACGTCACCCCTAGATATCTCCTGGGGCATCTGTGACCTGCTCTGCCACGGTCCAGGATTTGGGCCAATTGGGGCTGAAACCCAGGGAGAGGAACCTCCAGGAGACCCAGAACTTCCCCACCAGGTCCCCCTCCTCATTCAGGTTGCCAGCTGGAGAGGTGTAGGGAGCTCCCTCCTTCCTTCCTTCCCTCCCTCTGCACCAGGGCCCGGCCTTACCAAAGGCTTTGGCGACATCCCCTGGACACGTACAGCCTCCATCCTTCACAGAGGAAAAAGCAAGGACAGGACATCATCAGCGGGAGCTCAGCCAGGCTGTCCCCTCCCCCCAGATGACCTAGTGACTGGGGGTTCAGACCCACCACAGCCCCCAGCAAGCCCACGGGCCCAAGTTCCCCTACCACGGCTGTTGTTGTCTGATCGAGTGTACTCCCCTCAATATTGCACCTTTCACTCCCCAGGCCCATCCAGGCTTCCTCTGTGGGTCAGAAGCTGGCACCACCCACTGCCCACCTGCCTGCCTGGGCTCAGACACTTCTGTTGCAGAGCAGGAGGCAGCAGGGGCTGTGAGCGGCAGAGGGGCTCAGCCCTCATCCCATGCCAGCCCCCTACATAACACACCCAGCCATTCCACTGTCCACACTCATTCTCACTCAGGAGTCACCTTTCCCTCTCTGCCTGGTGTGAGGTGAGATTTATTTAGTACAAGGGTTGAATTCTTGTAAGAGCCAAGAAAAGGACATTGAGTTAATCCTTTTATCTTTCCAGGTACCTCCATGTTTCCTATTCCTCATGTATGGTACAAAGTTACCTTAAAATCAAACATCTGTTTTTCCACCCACACTGCCCATGCAGACCACACTTGGGCTGGTTTAATGTGTAGCAGGGCCAGTCTGTTATCTTGGGCTGCCCAGCAAGGTTCAGCTGTTGGGGGTAATGTTTAAACTCCAGCTACACAGTACAAGTCTTCTAGGATGCAGAGCTAGCTGAATTTTCTTTTCTTTTCTGTTTTTTTTTTTTTGTTTTTTTTTTTTTTTGAGACAGTCTCACTCTTGTCGCCCAGGCTGGAGTGTAATGGCGTGATCTCGGCTCACTGCAACCTCTGCCTCCTGGGTTCAAGCAATTCTCCTGCCTCAGCCTCCTGAGTAGCTGGATTACAAGTGCCCACCACCAAGCCCAGCTAATTTTTGTACTTTTAGTAGAGACGGGATTTCGCCACGTTGGCCTGGCTGGTCTTGAGCTCCTGACCTCAGGTGATCCGCCCACCTCGGCCTCCCAAAGTGCTGGGATTACAGGCGTGCACCACCGCGCCCAGCCACTAGCTGCATTTTCTTACAAACACAAGACACCAAATGCCCAGGCTGCTACCTGCTATTCCTAATGTAGCCTGGGCGCAATTCAAGGGGCAAAAGGACAGCAACAGTACGCTGGAGCAGCAGCCAGACACACGGGGACAGTCACGAAAGCCATGGTGCAAGGGGAGACAGCAACAGTGTCAGGGCTCACGTGACAGTGACACAGCCCAAAGCTAAGTGTGGGTCTAGGAGAAACAGCAGGACCTCAGAGGGAAGCACCTGTCCGCAGAAGGTGGGACCCACTTTGGGAAGGAATAGAGAAAAGACAGGGTGCCCAGGCTACCCCGTGTTACAACCTGCAGGAAAGTGCACACACCTCTGGAGTTGGAGAGCAGGGAAATGGGATGACCCACCTTGTGAAGAACATCTCAAACTGAGAACATAGGGTCTCTGTGACTCAGTTCCCTTTCTCTATCTACCAGTGAGGCCTGTCACTCCAGGAGCTAGAACTCCAATACTATTTCACTACTTCTTTGCAGCTCTGATCAAAAGGTTAAGTGTGAAGGCTGGACCTTTTCTTTACAAACATTTACTGACCACAGTTATTTCCTCAATCAAATGTGTTATTCATACATGGCTTCTCTGACCCCCAGAGGGCCACAGAGCACTGAGGAATATTATTTCAGAGGTGGTCTTGCCGTATGTTATCTGGCCCAAACCCACTGTGTGAAGACAGGGACAGGGCTTGTGGCTCTATACCCCTTGTTAATGCTTCAAAATCCTGGCATATTTATTTATTTTACCTTTCAAAGGTACAACCTCAAAATGCCCTTCGCTTGCCCTGCCAATTAATTTTAAAGTGCTTTATCTCTTTATCAAAACCAGCTCTACACAGTGTTTCACACTTCTGGCCTCAAACACATTAAATAAACTCATGCTCCCATTAAAATAAGTCCTACACATGTATGACTTTTAAAAAAATCACTCTTTTGTTCACTCATTTGTGTCTCCTGTGGTGTCCTGAAAATTTCTTATTACTGTGGTCTGTGATGAGGCCTGAATCAGGAGCCCTGTGCCACTGGGACCCCAAGAAAATCAGCCTTTCTCTTCCCAGGATGGGCCAAGAGATCCACAGTTAATACAACTGTATGGCGTATTGCAAAGAGGAAATCATATTTATGGCGTCATCCGCTCACAGGGTGCTTTTGTATGTGCACTTGTGAAATGGTCAGCGTAGACCAAACAACTGTATATGGTTAATGGTTGTACATTTAACCAAGAGCAATCCAACTTCACATGATGCCTTAGGACAGACATGGCAGTCTACTTCCTGCTACTGTTTATATTTCCAAAAGTGTTCAAAGTGTCCTTTCATGTTCTCGGGAAGCAGTGTAGCTCCAGCAATCAAGACATACATGCATCTTCACACATAAACATTCATAGCTGCTGAAAGGTTGTTAAAAACAACAACATTTGGGCTTGTAATTTGTTTGTTCTGTGCAAGTATTCAAAGCAGTAATGTACAAGGAGTCCTTTTTTTGTTTTTCCAAAAGAGTTAACATTATATTTAAGTACAAATGGCATCACAGGACATGAAGGATAACTTGTGAACTGTCAGCCTGCCTCTTTTGCTTAAAAATACTTGCTCAGGCTACAGGCACAGTGGCTCACACCTGTAATCCCAGCACTTTGGGAGGCTGAGGCAGGCAGATCACCTAGGGTCAGGAGTTCAAGACCAGCCTGGCGAACATGGTGAAACCCTGTCTCTACTAAAACTACAGAAATTAGTTGGGTGTGGTGGCGTATGCCTATAATCCCAGCTACTCGGGAGGCTGAGGCAGGACTATCACTTAAACCTGGGAGACAGAGGTTGCAGTGAGCCGAGATCATGCCACTGCACTCCAGCATGGGTGACAAAGCAAGACTCTGTCTCAAAAAAAAAAAAGAAAAAAAAAATACTTGCTCACATTATGTTGAATACTGACAATGAAAAAACAAAAAGGAAAAAAGAAAAATACTTGCTTATTCCTAAAACAAAGGAAGGATGGTATGGCAAACATGGAGTAGGCAGAGAAAGGAGTTCAAATCAGTCACCTACTAAGAACCAGCAACTCTTTTGAACTTAAAAGTCATTTTTCCATTCAAACTCATGAACCTGAAGGAGATATTGCGTAGACGGCGGGGACGGTGGAAAGAGGCTCAGAAAGGTTAAGCAACTCTCCTAAGGTCACACAGCTATAAAAATGGAAAAACAAGTTTAGAACCAGTGGTTATCTTAAGATGATAGCATTACTGCTAATACTTATTTTCCTTTTTATGTTTATTTGCATTTCTAACTTTTCCTAGGTTAAACACATTTTGCTGGGAAAATTTTCCAGACTCAAAAAAAAAGATTAATTATTTGAATGAATTTGTTTAGGTATTTCTAAATAATGGTGTGATAACAAAAAATTAACTGGTCCCACCTTAATCTTCACCTATGCAGGAAGTATCCTGAATTTTTCCTCCCTCTGCCTCTCTGAAGCCCATGTGGGCCACAACAGAAACACGACTGAAGCCCAGCCTCTTGGGTATCAGTACATGCTCAACAGACACCATGTTGTGGCTTCCTTTGAACTTCAATGGCACCAGTGTGCTAATTCAGCAAATAAAGGGTAAAATGGGACAGCTGGAAGGAAATTGGACCAAGTGGCAGGATCCAAAACACCTGGTGGGTTTCTAGCAGGTTCAGGGCTACTGGCAAGTGACAGAAACGTGCCCGTGCCCTGTTAGACAAAGGGAGTGTGGGGGCAATGGCTGCTCTGAACCTCAAGACACTCAGCTGCTTACAAGGACTGAGCTGAGGGCAAAGGTCCAAATTCTACTAAGTCCATTCATTTGCTTTTCCAGCTAAATGGAACTCCTAACCCCATCTAGGAGACCTCTCAGCATTGACGTAAAAGGAAACTCGGAGGCCGGGCACGGTGGCTTACGCCTGTAATCCCAGCACTTTGGGAGGCTGAGGCGGGCGGATCATGAGGTCAGGAGTTCGAGACCAGCCTGGCCAGCATGGTGAAACCCTGCCTCTACTAAAAATACAAAAAAAAAATGGGCTGAGCGTGGTGGCGCGTGCCTGTAATCCCAGCTACTCGGGAGGCTGAGGCAGGAGAATCGCTTGAACCCGGGAGGCATTCTAGCAGGGAGCTGAGATCATGCCACTGCACTCCAGCCTGGGCGATACAGCAAGACTCCATCTCAAAAAAATAAAAAATAAATAAAATAAAAAAGTAAAAACTAAAAAGAAAAAAAAGAACCTCAGAGAACACAAGCAAGATCAGAAGTGCTACCTTCCTATTGCACCAGTGCCCCAGGCTTGGGATGTCATTGTCCCTAACTGTTAAATTCAGAGAAGTTGCTGCCTTGGGCACCAGCAGATGAGACCTGGTTCAGGAACACTCACCCCGCCAGCGTATGCTGAGCCTCTACTCTATAAGCCAGTGGGTCTCACACTTGAGAGGACATCAGAACTACCTGGAGGGCTCGTGTTTAAACAGGTTCCTGGGCCTCACCTGCAGAGTTCTGATTCTGTAGGTCACGTCGATGGTGGGGCCCAAGAATTTGTAACAAGTTCTCAGTTGATACTGCTGCTGCTGGTCTGGGCACCACGCTTAAGAGAACTGCTGAGATACACTATAAATTAGGTGGTGCTGTGTAAAGAGATGCTAAGTTGATTTCCAATCAGATTCACCTCTGGGGCACACAGAGCCTCCACCCCACCCTGCCTACCACCAATCTTTGGCCAAACAGCCCTGTAAACTAAGCAAGTTTGAAGTTTCTAGAAAGACATAAGGATCTCAGAATATGTTCAGAGTAAAACTTTATTAATCAGAACTCCACTACTTTGGAAATAGTGGTCATTCAACACTTACGATATAGGGTCCAAGTTTTGACTTGATGGAGATGCTCAATGGTTAACATTATTAGGTAATGGAGACAGGACTAATTACATATGGGGATTTTGGGGACTAACCTCTGAAAGAGCCAGTTCACTAGGATGGGGTCCCGGAATGTTGATTTGTAAAAGCCTCTCTGGTGATCCTCACGCAGCCAGACTCAGACAAGGCTGCACTCAGGATTTGAGAACCACTGACATACTGCGGAATGGTACTACTGCCTGGCCGCTCCCGTGAGTTGAATAACCTCTTAGCAAATGTAGACCGACAGTTCTATGTCAGCCTTTTACACACTAGTTGCTCAATAAATGGATATTAATTTGTTCACTGGGGCAAAGGGTATTGAGTGGAGAGTCTTAGAACTCTGTCATTAACCAATAAACCTTTGACCATTTATTTCAGATACTATCACAGTAGATGCTTAATAGAGACTTGCTGGATGAATGGATGGGTGGGTGAAAAATTTGGATGAGGCATTAGAAGGGGCCCAGGCAATCTGCACTGGACAGCGAGTGAAAGACCTTGATCCTAGCTTCAGTTGTTACCTGAGCACCATTCCCAAGACTTTCATCATCTATGGGCTAAAAGCTGCCAGGTCTCCAACTATGAACACAATGCCTCATGTGCAATTTCCCTTCTGATGCCCCTCAAGCACCTCAGAATCAACAGACACGTGCCATAGTGATCACCACACCAGCCCCGAACCTCTTCCTTTGCAGCCATCTTCCAGGTGAGCCAGCACATGAGCCAGCCACAGCCTTGCTCCTCCTTCTCCTTCTCCAGTGCCCCCCAAGCACCTACTCCATTGCCGACACTTGTTTAATTCTGCCTCCCAAATGTCAGTCAATTCTGGAGATGGCTCTCAAGCCTGCTGCAGAGCACAGTCACCTCCCCCTCCTGAATTACTAACGCGTCCCAGCTGGGCTCTCTTTTTTATTTTGCCCCTTTCAATCTGACCCAAGGCAGTGAGTTGGGCACTCTCCTACTCAGACCTCTGCAATAGCTCCCTAGTGCTCTTGGAGAAGTCCCATCCTTAAAGGTGGATCCCACAGCTCTTGTCCATACTTGCCCTCAAGCTTATCTCCTGCTGCCCCTCACGCCTGCCCCTCTCAGGTCACTCGCCCCAGATGCAGTGACTGAGATTTGGTTCCCCAGTGCTTTTCTGTTCCCTTCTTTCTTCTCATCTGAAAACTTCCTTTTCAACCATCAGCTCTCTCTATTACACTCCAGGAAACCTTCCCTGACCCTGAATATGGGATACGTGGCCTGTTATGGGTTGAACTGGGTCCCCCCAAAAACTCGCATGTTGCCATCCTAACCCCTAGCATCTCAGAATGTGACCTTATTTGGAAACAGGAACAATGGACACGTCATCAGTTAAGATGCGGACATCCTGGAGGAGGGTGGCCCCTGATCTGAAAGGACTAGTATCCTCAGGAAAAGGGGATGTTTGCACACAGAGACACACACACAGAGGACGCCACAAGCTAAGGAACCAGCAGAAGGTCACAGAGAGGCCTGCAACAGATCCTTCCCTGGGGCCCTGAGAGGGAGCATGCCCCCCCCAACACCCTGATGTTGGGCTTCTCGTCTCCAGAATGGTGAGACACTGAAATTGAAGCCCCCAGTCTGTGGGGCTTTATTACAACTGTTCTAGCAAGCTGTGGCCTGGCCTACCCTGTGCTCTGAAAGCTGCCTGCACATCCCTCATCAGATGGACCACCCACCTGCTTGTATGGCTTCTGCCTACTGGGCCTGCCACCCTCACTGTGGAATCCGTGGGCAGCAGGGCCTCTGTTTCTGCTGAATGTCAGCGCTGTGACCGCAGTGCCCAGCTCCCTCCCATGCCCACAGGATGCCCAGCCAGTGAAAGAAGAGCAGCGAGGGAGCAGGGGCCTCCCAAGACACCCCAGCCTCAGCCCCGGGTGGAGACTCACAGAGATGATGTGGCCCTTCAGGCCATGGGCAGAGTCGGCACACTCAATGACGGCACTCAGCTGGGGGTACCCCACTCCCGTCTTGGTGCGGGTGGTGCACACAGAACCTGCACAGAGAAAGAAGTTGTCCCCAAATAGATGGTTATACATGAGAAGACTGTGACATGAAATGCGTCCCCCTTACCTTTGCAGCCCTGCTTTAGGGACCAGGGTGAACCTCTGTGGCAGAGGAGATGTGGGGAACAGGCTGCCCCATCTGCACGATGGAGGTCACTGTAAACCACACCACCTGGTCATGCACCCCCTCCGGTCCTCATCACTGTCACTGGCTGATGTCCCAGACATCGCCTTCCCCTCTACCATGCACCTGTCACTGCCACTCCTCCCTGTGGCACTGGCTCCCATGCAATAGCCAGGCACTGACCTTTCCACACTTAAACACCCACTCCTTTCCACCTTTCTACAAATCTACACTCTGCTTTAAAGGACCTCTCAGAATCCTCCCACTGGCTCGTAGCTTCTTTACCTTCAACCTTTGTCAAATGACTCACCTCTCTTAAGCCTCACTGCCCGGCCTGTAAAATCCAAAGAGAAACACAACCTCCTGGGGTTGTGGCAGAGAACAAATGGCACAGGGAGGGATACCGCTTGGCCCAGGGCCTGGCCTGCAGCACGACACCCTCCATACCCTCACCTGCTCTCACTCAGCTCTGTGCTCCACAGGGCCCAGCTGTTTGTCCATCTCCCTCCTGGCTGCCCCACCTCAAGTCCCTTGCAGCCTAGCCCGAGGTTCACTTCCAGGCCAGGGCTCACACCAGCACCCTCCTGCCTGCCTGTCCCACGGTCAGCCCCAGTCCTGGTTGTTCTCCCAGTTAGGTCCAGGCCAAGTCGCACTCTGACCTCTTTATCATACCTCCCCTTATTCAAGCTTCCCGGTGCCGCCACAGCACCCCACTTTACCCAGATCAGCAGAATCAAGCTCCACCTGCTCCCCTCCCTCCCCACTGCTTCTCCAATGGGGCAAGTTTCTTCCCACCTTAGGGACTCTGTACACAATGTTCTCTCTCTTGGACACTCCCCTCTGTACCAGCCCGCCTAGCCAAACCCTTCTCATCTTTCCAGCTTCTTCTTAAATGTCACTGCCCCAGGGGAGTTGTTCATCACAGTTTCAAAAAGAGGCATTTCAATCAGGATCTGTGTGAGAATGTTAAGGGTCTGTCTTCTGTACTGGGTGGTCGGCTCCGTGGACATTCGCTGTTGTTATCAGGTGCTGAGAACAGAGCCTCATATACAATAAGGCACTATAAATAGTCACTGAAAGAATGTGTGGACTCAAGAATGAATGAGTCACCCACATCCCTGTCTCCACTGCCACTCACTCAGCCCCTCCCGGAGGTCTTGTGGTGTGCACGAGAGGGCGCTCTGGGGACAGGGTAAAGGTGGAAGTGAACTCCTCCCTCCCACCAGACCCGGGGGTGGGATGCTTTGAGGCGCAGCCTAATCTCCGGCTCCTGGCCGGCACCACCTTGTAGGATGCTAATTTCTGCCAGGGGTCTTTAGGGACAAGATCAGACAGAGAAGTATGTCTGTGTCCCCAGGCCTGGATTTAGCAGAGAAACCAGGAGAGACAGGGCAAGCCCCTCTCCTGCATCAGCTGTGGGGCAGAGTCCACAGAAGTCCTGTAGCTCCCTGTGTCCTGCTATGTGTCACTCACAGTCCTGGAGCCAAGAAGTCTCATTCCCACGAAGGCGCCTTCCCCCCGCCCTGCAACCAGACGTTGTGCACGGCAGAATAAAAGGTTTAACCCCCGGTTCAGCCTCAGCTTTTCTCCTCCTCTCCCATTGAATTGCTAGATCCGGGGGTGGGGGCCTCAGCTGCAGTAGGCCTGGGGTTCTGATAGTAGTGAGGGCTCTATAAAGGGTAGACCAATTGCCTTTCTTGGAAACAGCCAAGGAAGAAGCTTCAAATAACACACAGGCGGTTCTGATTAACACCTAGGTGAAAGAAGAAGTTGGTGCATACTTTCTCTTGACTAGAGGGGCAGGGAATCCGTTTCTGATGCTTTTTCCCAGTTCCCAGGAGTTGCTCAATAATGAATGAAATCTATCAATCAATAGACATCCAATAATGCTATCATTTAGATATGTAATATGCAATGTTTTTACCATAAAGAATGTGTGAGACTTAAATATGGTCTCCAAACAATTTAAAGAAGTAGCTCCCATGCATTGGGCTCAGAGAAAGCCCCTTATTCTCTTTAGTCACATCTGTCCTACACAGACAGCCAGAGGGGTGGGGAGATACAGTGAGAGCAGAAGGACAATACAGCTTCTGGGGAAATAGAATGCAGACACAGAGATGTGCAAGAAGAAAACAAGTGTAGTAAATGTTCGAGACCACATCTAGAAAAGCTTTGAGAGGGCCGGGTGTGGTGGCTCACACCTGGAATCCCAGCACGTTGGGAGGCCAAGGCGGGTGGATCACCTGAGGCCAGGAGTTCGAGACCAGCCTGGCCAACATGGTGAAACCCCGTCTCCACTAAAAGTACAAAAAATTAGCTGGGCATGGTGGTGCATGCCTGTAATCCCAGTTACTCAGGAGGCTGAGGCAGAAGAATCACTTGAACCTCTGAGGCGAAGGTTGCAGTGAGCTGAGATCACACCACTGCACTCCAGCCTGGGCAACAGAGCAAGACTGTCTCAAAAAAAATAAAGCTTTGAGAGCCAAGAAGCTTCTCACACACCTTCACATCCTGTACAGCACCCGCCCAACACAATGGTAGCCAGTGAACATTCAATACATATTTCCTTTTTTTTTTCTTGAGACAGGGTCTTGCTCTATCACCAAGACTGGAGTGCAGTAGTGCGATCTCAGCTTACTGCAACCTTCACCTCCCAGGATCAGCTGATCGTTCCACCCTAGCCTCCCAAGTAGCTGAGACTACAGGTGCATACCACTGTGCCTGACTACTTTTTAATTTTTATCTCCTATTTTTAGTAGAGACAGAGTTTCACCATGTTGCCCAGGCTGGTCTCAAACTCCTGGGCTCAAGCGATCCACCCACCTTGGCCTCCCAAAGTGCTGGGAGACCAGGCGTGAGCCACCACATCAGGCCCATATTTCTGATTAAACAGGTGACTAGTGAGTGTCCCTGCCTTTGGGACTAAAAAGAGTCTTCCTAATCTATTAGCCTATTTTGTTCTATTATCAGTCTGTCTATTACAGCCTGCCCTAAGAGGAGGCAGCCTGGAAAGGAAGAACGAGGCCTTATCCTTTCTTGCCTTTTCAATAATGGTAGATACTCAGTAAAGACCTCTTCCCATTTGCTCAGAATACATTATTAACTGGCTTAAATGAGTGGCAATATGAAAAACTTAACCTTGAAAATCTCCCTGTATGTTAAAAGCTTGGGTATTTTTACGAATCTACAGGGTTCTTCTTCCTAATATTCTCTTCATACACATCCAATTCCCTCAGGCTGATCACGGAGCCAAGTCACAGCTCAACAGCGTCTCCTGCGCCTCCCAGCTGTGCGTTTTCCCACAGATTCCTCTCATATTGGTTTAGGTTTGCTTCCTTTTTTGGTAGTGTCATTTGGGTATGAGATTCTTTTGAAAAATCTTTGCTGTTTTTCAGTCCCAAGTGAAAATGTGTATATTCTTTCTTGCTCCTCAATTTTAGTGTCTGGTTAATACTGGATGTGCACGGATGAATTTAAAACATGGCAGCTCATCTTCAAGCAGGGCAAAGAAGGAAAGCGAACAGTAACCCTGCCCCATGAGAAAATGGCGCCACCCATGACAAGGACAGAAGGCTCTACCTCGTTCTTCTGCTTAAGATGCCAATGGGTGGTCCTAAGAAAGCATGCCTGGGAGAAGAACATGGGCAAAATCTACATCTAATACGTATCAGGTGAGTAACCAAAGGTGATCATTACCTAGGCCATGGGTCAAGTTTGAATGTGGCCTCATCACTGCAAGCTTATTTGCAATGTTTGGGGTCCCTCAAACATTCACATAAACTGGAGTCATTCATGTTTATTAACTGTCTCTATGGATTCTTCACCTATCGCCTTCCTCTGCAAGGTGTATGGGGTCATTAGTGAAATCTACATTCTTCCACATTGGTTCTGAAACCAAGCCCTCATATTCTGACCACATCCATATATTCTAACCATAATTTAGAAAATCCCTGGGGGCATCAAAAAGCAGCTCAACAATACTTTTCATCAGGGGCTTCCCCGAGAAGCTCAATTATGCTTCCAGAAAAAGCATGCTTTAAATATCTGTGAATGAGTCATTCATGCATCCCCTCCAGTGATCTGCAGTCCCCGCAAGCCCCAGATCCCATTCTTCCCCACACACGTCCTCTGCTGTGCTCCTAACAAGTCTTACCTGGTCCAACTCCCACTTTGATGATATCTGCTCCGGAAAGAATAAGCTCTTCTACCATTTCTCCTGTCACCACGTTCCCTGCCTGAGACAGAAAGAATACAGCTGATGATCATGAACTACTATTGCTGGTATAAAGGTGAGGAACCCCACACCTGAACACGAGGATGTGCATGTCCTAAAGCCACCAGGCAGCTGGGGGACAAAAAAGGAACACAGAATTTCATACCTGGAGACCACTTTTGGGAAAGGCCCCTTGGGTGAGCTGTTGGCATGAGAAGATACAGCATTATATGATTTAAGAACTAGAAGAGATCTTAGAGAGTCCAGGTCAGGGCTTTTCAGACATCTCAGCAATCAACAACAACAACAAAAATCTTAGAGGAGGCTGGGCTTGGTGGCTCACGCCTGTAATCTCAGTACTTTGGGAGCCCGAAGCAGGCAGATCATGAGGTCAAGAGATTGAGACCATCCTGGCCAACATGGTGAAACCCTGTCTCTACTAAAAATACAAAAACTAGCTGGGCCTGGTGGCGCATGCCTGTAGTCCTAGTTACTCAGGAGGCTGAGGCAGGACAATCACTTGAACCCGGGAGGCAGAGGCTGCAGTGAGCCAAGATGGCACCACTGTACTCCAGCCTGGACGACAGAGCAAGACTCTGTCTCAAAAAAAAAAAAAAAAAAAAAATCTTAGAGGGACCCCCAAATACAAAAAGTCAGCAATGAAACACTCTTGGTAATTAATATCTTTAGTGTTGGGCAAAAAAATGTTTCACAGTTTGCAAAGCCCCTGAAGAATCTTTATGGAACCCCAGAGAGTCAGAATTAGAAAACGCAGTTAAGAAAATAGCAGTGTGCCCCACTCTCTAGGGCTGGGATTCCCATCTAGACAGGAAAGGGCAGATGAGCCCTCATGGACCACATAGCATCAGCACGTGCTCAGTTTACAGAACATGAAGCTTTGGCCTAAGAACACACAAGCCTCCAGGAAGTGGCAGAATCTATCAACCAGAAGGATGTGTCTGGTTTGGAAACAGTACAAGCTCTTTCACTGCAGGAGTGTAGGAGTGCAAAAATAGCCCTTTTTATTACAACTCACTGCCCTGTGGATTCTTCAGCCAGTATATAGGATACTTGGCAAGATGCCCTGGCTGAGTTTTCACAACTGTGCAAAGTCATATTTTGCAAAATGAATCCTTACTCATTCCACTCATGTCTTTTGCACTGAAGTCCAAGTGTCTTCTCTCTGAATTGCTTCCCAGAGGGAATTTTTCTTTTTTAACGTAGACAAAGTGACTTTTAACTTCATATAAAAGGATGTGGGGAAAAGGTGATGAGGAGGGCTTAAAGCTTTAATCCAAACAGTAGCTGACAATGGAAAAATCACAGATGGCCCAGAAAGAGGACTAGAGGTAGATTAAAGAATTAAAATTAAAGTTATACTCCCCAAATTCAGAAGGAAACCTTGAATACTTTCAATAAGCATAAAAGTGAAAAAACATAATGACAGAGCTGTCTACATAAAAACTAAAAACTTGGCCAAGTGCAGTGGCTCACGCCTATAACCACAGCACTTGGGAGGCTGAGGTAAGTGGATTGCTCGAGCCCAGGAGTTTGAGACGAGCTTGGGCAACATGGCAAAATCCCATCTCTATGTAAAAAAAAGAAAAAAGAAAAAAAACTGACATACACATAAACACAGATATTCATACAATCAACAAATACCCAGGTAGAGAAAAATATCTACAATTTTGACAAAGTGTTATTATCCTTAACATAATAAGAGCTCTTACAAACCTATAAGAAAAACGCTAATACCTCACAGAGTAAGTGCCAAAGGACAGGAACACACTATTGAAAGAAATAAAAGTGGCTGAGAAAAACGGAAAGTGTTCAACCTCCTGAATAACCAAATGTAAACTAAGGTACCAATGAGGTACTACTTTTCACTTAACAAATTATCAATAGTTGTAAACAGTAAATACTGTAGAGAAAACATCAGATGGAATCTCTATTTCTTTTGGGAAAATTTATTGTAGTATGAGTTTTCCCAGAAAGCCGTTTGTCCATATAAAAGAAATATGCACTTCCTTGTATTCAATAATTCTTCTAAGATTCTCTGCCAAGGAAATAATCATAAGTGTGGACAAACATTTAACTACAAAGATGTATTATCTGTAACAGTGCAGAACTGTAAATATATTCCCCAAAATGGAATGATCCAACAACTTATGACCTATCCATGTGATGTTTTTAAGAGTGTTTTTTTTGTTTTTTGTTTTGTTTTGCTTTTGAGATGGAGTCTTGCTCTGTCACCCAGACTGGAGTGCAGTGGCATGATCTCACTGCAACCTCTGCCTCCAGGGTTCAAGTGATTC